>NC_000012.12:43672249-43823764 GCF_000001405.40 Homo sapiens
TGGTGAAACCCTGTCTCTACTAAAAGTACAAAAATTAGCTGGGTGTGGTGGTGAGTGCCTGTAATCCCAGCTACTCAGGAGACTGAGGCAGGAGAAGCTTGAACCCAGGAGGCGGAGGTTGCAGTGAGCCGTGATCACGCCACTGCACTCCAACCTGGGCGACAAGAGTGAGACTGTCTCAAAAAAAAAAAGGAGATAAGCCAAGAGTCTCTGTTTCCCTACTACACAACCCTTAGCTAATTATTTCTGAGAAAAATTCTGTGGCCTGATTTTTACTGAAGGATTGTTTAAAAATCCAGACAAGAAGTGTTTTCTTTTTTAGATAAAATGCTTTAAATTGTTGTTTAAATAAATATTGTTACTCTCCAAGTAAAATAAATGTTCAGTTAATTCTTATCTTTGAAAGGAATTTAATTATCAAAGACAAAAGCTCCCTCCTTTTGTTGAAAAGCTGAACAATTTTCTATTGTGTTTCCTTTTAAGTAGAGGCCTTTCAATAATGTTCAACCTTCAATTAAAAAAAACAACAACTGTTGTGGGGTGGAACCATCAGCTCTGGGTACATCATTATTTTTCAGAATGATTGGTGATTAACAAATAAATTATATCATCCACTTGCATTTATTAAGTTCCCAAATGAACATAAAGTTATGCTGCATGCTGTATGAGGCAAGTTAAATAGACACAGTCCCTACCTTCTAAGAGGGAATTAATCCTATTTGTGAGATAACAGCATGATGTAATCCATGCTATCCAATGTAGCATTGAATGAGAGCAGATTTTACTCATAGGAGTATTATAAACTCATACATATTCCTTAGATATTCTCTAGAAAACACAATTAAGAACTGGAAGAATTATTCCTGTCTTTCGCATAGGTGATCTGATAGTGACCCTAATTATTTGCTTTCTGTCACTAATCATCCGGTCATCATGAAATATTAAATTTTAGGGAAATTTTTATTTATACGATTAATTAAACTGGTTATAATAGAGTTTCCCAAAGGGTAGTAAACTTACGATTACCTAAAAATAATTTTAGGTGTCACATGCATGACATTTTTTACTTTAATAGTAATATATTTATTGTAATGCATAGGAGAAGACATTAATTTACTACCTTCTTAAATCTGTGATATAACATTTCCTTTTAGATAAATTTATTTATGTTTAAAAAGTGATTAGATTTTTAAAAAATATATTAAATGGCATGTAGATATGACAAGAGTCATAAAGGCAAAAGGAAAATAATAAAGTTTAGAAAACATTTGGTTAGAATATGAACTTGGCATGTAAGTAGTAACAGAGTAGTGCCAAAATGAACTAGCTGGCTTTTCACATAAAATTGTCTTGTTTGACGTGGTAATGACATCTTTTTGCATGGAATTACAACAGTTGAAATATTAGGTAAGAGACTAAATAAATCAACAAAACCTACCAAAACCGCTTGTTAAATAATTCGAGCTGTATACACTAAAAAACAAAAAACCATTTCAATTAAGTAGTCTAAAAATACAATGGTATAAAAAAACTTAGGAATAAAATTATTATTATTACTTCTTTTTTTTTTTTTTTGAGATGGAATCTCTCTCTGTCACCCAGGCTGGAGTGCAGTGGTATGATCTTGGCTCACTGCAACCTCCACCTCCCAGGTTTAAGCAATTTTCCTGCCTCAGCCTCCCAAGTAGCTGGGTCTATGGGTGTGTGCCACCACGCCCAGCTAATTTTTTGTATTTTTAGTAGAGACAGGGTTTCACCCTGTTAGCCAGGAGGGTCTTGATCTCCTGATCTCATGATCCACCCGCCTCAGTCTCCCAAAGTGTTGGGATTACAGGCTTGAGCCACCGCACCTGGCCAAAAATAAAATTATTTTTAAGTACAAGACTTGTATACTGAACATACCATCGAGACAGATTAAAGACCTAAATAGATGGTAGACATTCTTTGTACATGGATTGGAAAACTTAATGTTGTTCGGATGCAATACTGCCCAAATGGATCTACAGATGTGGTGCAATCCTTAGTAAAATCTCAACTGGTTCTTTTGAAGAAATGGAAAAGCTGATTCTGAAATTTTTATAGAAATGCAAGGGACCCAGGTTAGCCAAAACAATCTTGGAAAAGAAAACCAACGCTAGAAAGCTCTCACTTCTTCATTTTTAAACTTACTGCAAATCTACTGTAATCAAGACAGTGTGGTACTGGCATAAGGATAGACATAGAGATCAATTGAATAGAAATGAGTCCAGGAGATTAGATTCAAGACAGCTGACTAGATGCAGCTAAGATGTGGCTCCTCCACAGAGAGGAAGCAAAATATCCAGTAAACCTTCACACTTCAAATGGATCTTTAGAGAGAAAACACTGAAATGTAACAGAGATGTGATGGAAGGCACTGTGATTGAAGAGGAAGGAAGTGGAGTATCCTGCTGGGTGTTGCTAGGTGCCAGAACCAACCCCTAGACCCAGACTGAACCCCGGGAAAGGATGAATGAAGGAAACCCAGGGCACCACATTCCCACCGTGGACCTCTGAGATCCTAGCTACGGGAGTTCCCATGACTCCTGCAGATATTTGGAGTGGCAAGGAGAGCTGTCTGGAGAACAAGCAGAGGCACCGCTTAAACCTTCATGGAGCCCTCAAGATTTCAGCGTGCTGGGCAGCTATAGCAAAACATAACTCTAGGCACCCATCCCCTGAGGCTCTGGGTCATGCCCTAAGTGGCTGCAGCTCCTGCCATCTGTGGAGGCCAGGAGAGATTTGAGGCTGGGTGTGCTCATGGGCCCAAGACAGAACCCACCATCACTGTCACAGGACTGAGATGCATCATATCATGTGCCCCTCATGCCTGCTGGTCCCTCTCAAGACTATCTGCTTGTCATTCCCACGGTGGGGCAAGTGGGCACCCACAGCACAGTCTCTACTGCCCTGCCTGGAGTGGTTTGTTGGTGGCCTAGGAGCAGTTCAACACCTCCATCACAGCCAGTGCATGACCCTGAGTGGCCAGGGGACAATCTGCTGGTCTGGTCCCAGTTCCCCAGGACTTGACCACACCGCCTAGGGGTATGAAGATGAGACTAGTGGCCTGATCTTTAGCAGGAGAGGAGCCCCCACTGTCAGAACACAGAGAAGAGTTTAGTGCAGGTCCATGTCATGACGCAGGAGTTGGGCACCCCTCCTTTCACAGGACCTGGAATGTGTCTGGCCTGATAGCCTTACTTTCTGCCACAGGGAATTTTATACTCTGGAATGCCTGGAATGGCTCAGTGATCTGGGCATAGATGACTTGGAAGTAGCCTAACTGGTTGGGCCTGTTGCCAGAGCCAGACACTGAGAGGAGGAAGACCCACCAGATCAGGGTGTGGGAGCTGAGCAGGCCCCACAGCTCCCTACTGCGCTGAAAACCCCAGGCCACCCCTCTTCCTCTGAGCTGGCTCTGTGGCACAGGAGAGATGCCTCTGCCCTTCCCTGGACGGTTGTCCCAGTGGCCTGAGAGCTGCCCCAGAACTTCACCAAGGTCAGCACCTGTACCTGCCCTAGAGAGCCTGAACCAGCCTGACCCAGCAGTGTCCAGCTTTGCTGCCTCTAGCTGCCTTGGCAGCAGTGTGGGGAGTGACCCCTGAGAGCCACACACCCCACCCATCGCCAGGGACACCCCAGTACTTCCCCTATCAACAAAGGCCAAATACAAATTCCACTACCAGTTGGGCACAGTGGCTCACGCCTGTAATCCCAGCACTTTGGGAGGCCAAGGTGAGTGGATCACCTGAGGTCAGAAGTTCAAGACCAGCCTGACCAATATGGTGAAACTCCATCTCTACCAAAAATACAAAAATTAGCCAGGCATGTTGGTAGGTGCCTGTAATCCCAGCTACTCTGGAAGATGAGGCAGGAGAATTGCTTGAACCCAGGAGGCAGAGGTTGAGGTTGCAGCGAGCCGAGATCACACCACTGCACTCCAGCCTGGGTGACAGAGCAAGACTCTGCCTCAAAAAAAAAAAAAAAAAAAAAAAAAAAGCCATTACCATCACTGTAACTTCATCTTGCCTACAAGCACCATCTATTGGCTGGGAGGTCAAACCGTACTGTCCATCACAACTTCTGACATTAGTGTACGTGTACGACAGCCAGTTGTCACTCACAAGCACCACCTACTGGCATGCATGGTGAACTGCCCAACCCAATGTAATTCCTGCTGACAGAGGTGCTGGAGAACAAAATATGGCTCTCTCTATCTTTATTGGAAACAGTGAACCTGATCACACATACAGCACACTGCTACTACAACCTACAAACAACTAGCATTAGAGAAAACCACTACACTATCTATAACCAACTAATTCAAACAGAGATTTGGCCACATGAAACTACATTAAAAAAAAAGCCAGCATAGGCAACAGTCACACTCTCAAGGAGAGAAGAAAAAAACTCACCCAAATGAAAGTAAATTCAAATGTAAAAAGTGACAGTTTCTACAGATAAGAAGCAACCAGCACAAGAACTCCAGCACCATGAAGAAACAAAATGCTGTGATACCCCCAAAAGACCACACCAGCTCTCTAGCAATGGGTCCTAACCAAAATGAAAACTTTGAAACGACAGATAAATAATTTAAGGTATGGGTTGTAAGCAAGTTCAGTGAGATCTAAGTGAAAGTTGAAAAATAACACAAAAAGGCATAAAAACAGATCAGGAGTTCCGTTTTATTGAAAACAAACAGTTATGTTTGACTGAAAAACAGAACTTCTGGAAATATAAAATACACTGAAGGAATTTCACAATACAATTGAAAGTTTTAACAAGACTACACCAAGCAGAAGAAAGAATATCAGAGTTTCAACATCTGTCTTTCAAATTAACACAGTTAGACAAAAATAAAGAAAACACAATATTTAAAAGTGAACAAAGACTTTGAGAAATATGGGATTTTGTAAAGTGATCAAACTTACAACTTTTAGGCATTCCTGAGGGAAAAGAAGAAAAAGAGGTTTGGAAAACATATTTGAGGGAATAATTCAGGAAAATTTCCCTGATCTGGCTACAGATGTAGACATCCAGATTTAAGAAATGCGAAGAATATCTGCAAGATACTCTACATGATGAATATCATAAAGCCATGTAGTCATTAGACTATCCAAGGTCAACATGAAAAAGCAAATCTTAAAGGCAGCTAGACAGAAGCATCAAATCACTTACAAAGGAAATCCCATCAGACTAACAGCAGGCTTTTCAGCACAAACCTTACAAATCAGAAAAGATTGGTGGCCTATCTTTAAGCTCTTAAAAGAGAAAAAATTGCTAGTCAAGAATTTTATATCCTGACAAACTAAGATTCATAAATGAAGAAGAAATGAAGTATTTCCCAAAAGAACAAATGCTAAGGGATTTCTCACCACTAGACAGGTCCTACAAGAAATGGTCAATGGAGTCCTAAACATGGAAATGAAAAGGTGATACTTGCCATAATAAAGGCACACATAAGTAGAAAGTCCACAGATCCCATAAAGTAATTACACAGTTTAGACCCCAAAGCAACTAGCTAACAAAACTATGACCAGGAGAAAAAAAAAACCTCACATATCAATACTAACCTTGAGCATAAATGGCCTATATACTCCACTTAAAATATAGAGAGTGGCAAATTTGATTAAAAAGAAAAAAAGACCCAACTATCTGCTGCCTACAAGGGACCTCCCAAATAACTAAAGACAGACTCAAGGGAGTCGAAAAAGATATATCATACAAATGGAAAAAAAAAAAAAAAAAAGCAAGCAGAGTAGCCATTTTTATACTGGATAAAACAGACTTTTAACCAACAACAGGAAAATAAGAGAAAATGGGTATTATATAATGATAAAGGATTAAATAAAGCAAGAAGATTTAACTATCATAAATAAATAGCACCCAACACTGGAGCAACCAGATTCATAAAATAAATACTACTAGACCTAAGAAAAGGGGCTGACAGAAATACAAAAATAGTGGGGACTTCAACACCCTACTAGCAACACAAAACAGGTAATCAAGTCAGAAAGTCAACAAAGAAACTCTGGACTTAAGTTGGACTCTGGACAAAATAGAGCTAATAGACATTTGCAGAACATTCTACCTAACAACCACAGAATATACATTTCTCTCATCTGAGCATGGAACAGTCTCCAAAATTGACCATATGCTTGGCCACAAAGCAAATCTCAATAAATATTAAAAAATCAAAATCCTATCAAGAACCGTCTTGGACCACAGTGGAATAAAATTAGAAATCAATACCAAGAGGAACTCTCAAAAATACACAAGTACATGGAAATTAAACAACTTGACCCTGAATGATTTTTGAGTAAATAATGAAATTAAGTCAGAAATCAAATATGTTTTTAAAATGAATGAAAACAGAGACGCAGCATACCAAAACCTCTTGGATTTAACAAAAGCAGTGCTAAGAGAAATTTTTATAGCATTAAACCCCTATATTAAAAATATAGAAAGATCTCAAATTGACAACCTAACATTATAACTCAAGGAACTAGAAATGCAAGAACAAACCAAACCCGAAGCTAGAAGAAGAAAATAAATAACAAAGATCAAAACAGAACTAAATGAAATTGAGACCAAAAAAAAAGATACAAAGGATCAACAAAATTAAAAGATGGTTCTTTGAAAAGATAAATAAAATCAATAGACCAGTAGCTAGTTTAACTAAGAAAAAAAGAGAGAAAATTCAAATAAGCACAATCCAAAATGATAAGGGTGCATTACAACTGATACCACAGAAATATAAAGAGATCATCAAAAATAACTATGAACATCTCTATGTGCACAAACTAGAAATCCTAGACACAATGAATAAATCCCTGGAAACATACAATCTCCCAAGGTTGAACCAGGTAGAACAATTTATTTATCAATTCCTTGTTGTTAGAAATTGTCATGGTTCATATCTTCTAGTACTGTAACTGTGAAGAAACAAGCCACTTCATATATACATCTTTGTATACTTGTCCAATTATTTATTTTAAAAATATTTGTGGATCTGAAATTGCTGAGTTAAAGGTTAGGCTTTTCATACATATTTCTAAATGTATGAATTTAGAAATATGTATGAAATTCCCCAATTTTGAGTACCAAGCTCTGCCCCAGTTGTAGAGGTGGACAAGATTAACAAGATGGTGATTCTCAGGTAATTTGCCTTCTATTAGGATGGATAAATTTTGGATTAATAAATATAGGTATGATCTGTGTTTCAGAGAGGGGAAACACAAGGCATTTTACTTGCCTAGAAGAAGTGCCTCTTTGTTCAGTTCAGGCAATGCTTTACTAAGAGATGTTTAAACAGATCCTGCAGAGCACAGGTTACAAAGGAAAAACGTGTTTCAGAAAGAGAGAAGACAGTATGATAGATGAATCAGGGATAAGACAGAATATGCCATTTGGGGAAATTAAGTAAAGCCCAGTTTGGCTAAAGCCATCTGTATGACAGATAAAAAGTTAATATCCTTACTATATGAAGAACTCTTACAAACCATAAGAAAAATTTGAGTATATCAGTGGGAACAGACAATTCATCAAAAAAGAAATATAAATATATAATAATTTTAAAAGTTCAGTCCCATTATTAAAAAATTCAATTAAAAATGAAAAACATTTTTAAAATTTTTGCCTATGATACTAACAATGTTTTGAAATAATCAGCATCCAAAATGGATAAGGGTCATTGTGAACAATAATACATGGTGGCTAAGAGCTTGAATTGAGAGCCAGACTGCCTAGATTCAAAACCTGCCTGTTACTAACACCATAAGACAAGGAAAGAAAAATTAAAAATTAAACGTTTTTAAAAATCTGCCTGTTTCACTTACCACCGATATGATCTTTGGCAATTTGCATAATCTCTCTATGCCTTAGTTTCCACGTCTACAAAATAAGACTAATGCAACCTTCTAAGTTTACTGTGGAGATGAAATAATATATGTCAAGTGATTACAGCAGCACCTGGAACACAGTGAGTAACCAGTAAATGCTGTTATTATTATGTGACCTTGCTCAATGGCTTTCCATGCCACCGTATCCACACACTAAATCATTATAGATATTTTGGTTTATTTTTAATTGTACAATCTGACACTGGTACAATACTGAATTGATTACATAATATATGTTAATATGGAACATGTTCATTGCTGAAGTCTTACATATTAAAATATATTTCAATGATAGGATAAATTTCTTGGTTTTTTTTTGAAACATTTTCTTAATATTTCTTATACATTTTTTCTAAATGCACTATAAAATGCCTTTTTAAGTTTTCAAATTCTAAAGTAAAATATTCCAAAAACAAGACTTGGAATTACATTTAATTATAGATTAATATGGAGAAATTACACCTTACAATTACAAATTACAACATTGTAACAATATTGAGGATGTCCCATATCCATGTTTATGTTATTTCCCTTTATTTATTTTACTCTTATATCTGCACACAAAAATAAATACAACCACAGCAGTATATTTTGTAGTTTTACATATATAGGTCATGCAGAGGATAAAACTTTGTGCATGAATGTATGTGTATGTGTGTGCATGTATATTCATATAGGCCACACATGAGATAAAACACATATTTACATTTTATTTATACATACATGCATACATATATGTATGTATAAAACAAATTATGTGGGAAATTCCAACAAAATTCAATAATATTGGAATAAATGCATAAGCATATCACTTTCAAAAACGACTCCATTTTAAAGAAGAAACATATTTATTTCAAAATATGAGTGTGTTTAGCTAAAGATGAAGCTCGTTACTTTATAGTTAAACTATTTATTAGTAGCCTGTAAATATAAAGTGTCAGGAATTTTTTTAAGTAATAATACTTGCCCGCTTTACTGATGAAATTATCATTTATATTCACATACACAAAAACACCCAACTTTCTATTTCCTAACTTAGCTTATGAAAAATTCATAGAAGTTAAAGGATTGTTGTCTTAGATATCATGGCATTTGGAATTCTACTTGAAATACTTTGTTTATAATGGATAATAAATATTCATAGGATAAATGGGTACCATCTAACATGATTCTTTACAAGGGAAAATTTATTCATTAATCATTCCCCTTCCAGGTTAAGTTCATATTATCTCTTGCTAGAAAAAAACAAAAGGGCAGCCTCTGGGTTCCGGCACATAGGCTGAAATAGGCTGTACAGGAATCATGAAGAGTTGGGCTGCACTGCCCAACTTCTATTCTGTCATTTAACAAACCCAGTGTTTTGCCCAAAAAAGTCTAGTGAGTCAAAAGGGGGACTAGGTGAAGTATAAGATAAATCAGTGGCAAAAATCTGCACAAAATACATCTGAACACTGAACCAGATGTGGACTTTCTGTGATGCTAAACATTTAGGGACCTCTCCTTTGCATAGACCACCATGGTTGCATGATCATTTTTGTAAGCTTGTAAAGATATTTTGTATTTTTATTCTTAAGCAGGAACCTCCTCTCTCCCATATTAAATAAATCTCAGGCATCACAAAACCTGAATCCACTCCTGCTCTTCACTCTTCTAACAATCACTTCCTGCCCTTAATTTTTTGAGACCTCTCACTAAATAAATATAAAGGGAATACATTCTCTTGGCATTGTTAGAATCTCCATGACTGTTGGATATCTGCATCCCATCGCCCTGGTAACCCAAAGGAAAGAAGAAGGATGAATAACTTCCAATTCATTTAAACTTAATTAGAAAGAGAAAAGGATAGTTTGAGTGAGGGTGGGGACCGGGGGAGGGACCTAATTTTATTGCACAGAATGTTAACGACCAAAAGTTAATATTTGTGTGCTACAAAATATATGTCAACATTATTTTAAATTCCTAGCTATATTTGAGGAGGAGACCAAGAAAGACCTCTTTGGTGTTATCATCCCCCTTATTCTAAAACACAGCTGCTCTCAGACGCAAAGAAAGGAAAAGAGTGGGCAGTAGATGCCTCACACTGCCTCTAAAGTTTTATTTTGGTTACAATTTCATAGCAGGTAGATGAGAAAAATGCTAACATTAATGAGGAAATATAACTATTTAATAAATGACATTTGTTTGAATGTAGCATTAGAGAATTCAATCCTTTCAAGAGCAGAAGTTCTAGGAACACTAAGCTTTCCTTCACAAAGTAAGGTATAAATTGAATAAAGCGGGTTTTTTTGTGGGGGGAAGAGTAGCACATCTTTCATATCTTGCAAGTGCAGGTGCAAAAAAGGAGAAAGTTGTGAAAAACAAGTGATACAAATAATGATTTAAGAGACCACTGAAGTTGGAACATTGTTGAATTAATATTTTCTTTAAACTGGCGTGAAATATGTTTCTAGATATTTCTTCCTCATTTTTAAAATTTATTCATATTCAATATGAAAATAACCAAGACTTTCAAAAGGTAACATAGTTATATTCAGTATTTATCACAAAGTTTTTGTTCTGCAACATTTGCATGTCTTCCTAATTCTTTTTGATGCTAGCCCAACCAGCCCCCACCTTCTGTTAAATGATGCTTGTCAGGATTTCTAGTTCATCTCCTTTGTTTCAGTGAAGTGTACTGTTCTTTTTTCCACACTCAAAGCAATGATATAGGGATATAAAACTACTGAAGTTCTATTTTATTAAGGAGTTTTATTTCAATTTCAGATAATTTTGAACAATTCATATTCTTTATACCTGACCTGCTTTGATAAATAGATTATTAGGACATATGGATAATGTGTTATTTTTACTATTTACTTATTTTTCTGTCCCTTATTCCAAGTATATTTAATTTACTAAGTTGACAGGGCACATGGCAAGTTATAAGATATGAGCACATTGTGATTTTTATATTAAAAAATTCCAATGACTACCTTAAGGTATTCTCCAATGACTTAGTATTTCCATTTTTATTTTCAGAGCATCTTTAACCTAAAGTAACTCTCATATGGTGGTACAGACTCCTCATTTCCCCCAGTAGTTCTTCTCCTTTTCCATAATAAAGAACTCTTGACTTTTTAGTTAGACCCATAGACACCCAGAATAAGAACTACATATCCTAGCTTCCATTGCATCTTCAAGCAGCATGTGACTGGATTCTAGCAAGAACATATAAGCAAAACCTTTCTGTAAAAGTAGTTGGCCCACATATTTTCCTCCTTTTTTGGTCAATTTCCCCCAACCCCCCGCCACCACCCCCCAGCCTTAGAAAATGTGAATGGAGCAGTGAACTAGGACCATGAGTAGACGCTAGGAATGGAAATCTACACATTGCCAAACAAAAAGGGAGGAGGAATCTCTTTCCCAAGAACTTTGTGGAACAGATATTTCTTATCAGCATTGTACTGCCTATTTTGGAATTTTACTTAAGATGTAAATAAATTACTCTCGTTTAACTCACTGGTATTTTGGGTTTCTGGTACTGATAACTGAACATTGCCATATCCGATATGTGGTATTGTACCAGCTAATTTCCTTGGACATAAGCGCCAAATACAAAGATCCCTCTCTAGCATGTAGGTCCTATTAAAAGTTTATGTATAGATAAACATTCTTGCACAGTATTTACAAGCTTTATACTGGCAATGAATTTATATTTATGTCTGATATCAAATACTGCAAAGCTGAAGTTACTACTACTAGCTACAGAAAAAGCAGCAAACCTTCAAGGAGAAAACTACCTTGGAACTATACTCAAAAGTTAAACTCTGCACATGACATTCCTATCAGGTATGAGTCTTTAAATTACTTTGTTATCAATTGGCCAATAATTTAATTCCATCATAACCTTTGAGGAAATAAACTACATAGATATGTATAAATAAAATAATCAGGTCCAAAAATAATAAAGAAAAGCAAACAATGTGGCTAGTTGAACCATTCATTCATTTATTTAATGGGCATATGTTAAAATTCTTTGTACTGTTTCTTGTGCCAATTTATTCATACACATATAAATAAAACATGTCCCTCCTAGGGTATTGCATTTTTATATTTAAAGAGAAACAGGCAGCCCTGCCTCTCCCTCTCCTTCTCCCCCTCCCCTCTCCCCTCTCCCCTCTCCCTTCTCCCCTCTCCCCTCTCCCTCTCGGTCTCCCTCTCCCTCTCGGTCTCCCTCTCCCTCTCTTTCCACGGTGTCCCTCTGATGCCGAGCCGAAGCTGGACTGTACTGCTGCCATCTTGGCTCACTGCAACCTCCCTGCCTGATTCTCCTGCCTCAGCCTAACGAGTGCCTGCGATTGCAGGCATGCGCCACCATACCTGACTGGTTTTCGTACTTTTTTGGTGGAGACGGGGTTTCGCTTTGTTGGCCGGGCTGGTCTCCAGCTCCTAACCGCGAGTGATCCGCCAGCCTCGGCCTCCTGAGGTGCCGGGATTGCAGATGGAGTCTGGTTCACTCAGTGCTCAATGGTGCCCAGGCTGGAGTGCAGTGGCGTGATCTCAGCTCCGCTACAACCTCCATCTCCCAGCCGCCTGCCTTGGCCTCCCAAAGTGTCGAGATTGCAGCCTCTGCCCGGCCGCCATCCCGTCTGGGAAGTGAGGAGCGTCTCTGCCTGGCCGCCCATCGTCTGGGACGTGAGGAGCCCCTCTGCCTGGCTGCCCAGTCTGGAAAGTGAGGAGCGTCTCTGCCCAGCCGCCATCCCATCTAGGAAGTGAGGAGCGCCTCTTCCCAGCAGCCATCCCATCTGGGAAGTGAGGAGCGTCTCTGCCCAGCCGCCCATTGTCTGAGATGTGGGGAGCGCCTCTGCCCCGCCGCCCCGTCTGGGATGTGAGGAGCGCCTCTGCCCGGCCGCGACCCCATCTGGGAGGTGAGGAGCGTCTCTGCCCAGCCGCCCCGTCTGAGAAGTGAGGAGACCCTCCGCCCAGCAACCGCCCCGTCTGAGAAGTGAGGAGCCCCTCCGCCCGGCAGCCGCCCTGTCTGAGAAGTGAGGAGCCCCTCTGCCCGGCAGCCACCCCGTCTAGGAAGTGAGAAGCGTCTCCGCCCGGCAGCCGCCCCGTCCGGGAGGGAGGTGGGGGGGTCAGCCCCCCGTCCGGGAGGGAGGTGGGGGGGGTCAGCCCCCGCCCGGCCAGCCACCCCGTCCGGGAGGGAGGTGGGGGGTCAGCCCCCCGCCCGGCCAGCCGCCCAGTCTGGGAGGTGAGGGGCGCCTCTGCCCAGCCGCCCCTACTGGGAAGTGAGGACCCCCTCTGCCGGGCCAGCCACCCGTCCGGGAGGGAGGTGGGTCAGCCCCCCCCCCAGCCAGCCGCCCCATCCGGGAGGGAGGTGGGGGGGTCAGCCCACCGCCCGGCCAGCCGCCCTGTCCGGGAGGGAGGTGCGGGGCTCAACCCCCCGCCCGGCCAGCCGCCCCGTCCGGGAGGTGAGGGGCTCCTCTGCCCGGCCGCCCCTACTAGGAAGTGAGGCGCCCCTCTGTCCGGCCAGCCGCTCCGTCCGGGAGGGAAGTGGGGGGGTCAGCCCCCTGCCCTGCCAGCCGCCCCGTCCGGGAGGTGAGGGGCACCTCTGCCCGGCCGCCCCTACTGGGAAGTGAGGAGCCCCTCTGCCCGGCCACCACACCGTCTGGGAGGTGTACCCAACAGCTCATTGAGAACGGGCGGGGATGACAATGGCGGTTTTGTGGAATAGAAAGCGGGGAAAGGTGGGGAAAAGATTGAGAAATCGGATGGTTGCCGTGTCTGTGTAGAAAGTAGTAGACATGGGAGACTTTTCATTTTGTTCTGTACTAAGATAAATTCTTCTGCCTTGGGATCCTGTTGATCGGTGACCTTACCCCCAACCCTGTGCTCTCTGAAACGTGTGCTGTATCCACTCAGGGTTAAATGGATTAAGGGCGGTGCAAGATGTGCTTTGTTAAACAGATGCTTGAAGGCAGCATGCTCGTTAAGAATCATCACCACTCCCTAATCTCAAGTACCCAGGGACACAAACACTGCGGAAGGCCGCAGGGTCCTCTGCCTAGGAAAACCAGAGACCTTTGTTCACTTGTTTATCTGCCGACCTTCCCTCCACTATTGTCCTACGACCCTGCCAAATCCCCCTCTGCGAGAAACACCCAAGAATGATCAATAAAAAAAATTCAAATTAAAAAGAAAAAAAAAAAAAAGAGAAACAGAATTCATAAGCAAAGGATAAATAAGATACTTTTCAGGCAAGCAAATGCTAAGAGAATTTGACTACCAGACCTGCCTTACAAGAGGTTCTGAAGGGAGTAATATGGAAAGGAAAGACCAACACGGACCGCCAAAAAAATTCACTTAAATACACAGACCACTGACACTATAAAGCAACCATACAAACAAGTTTGCATAATAACCAGCTAACAACATAACAGGATCAAATTCGCATATGTCAATATTAACCTTATATGTAAATAGACTAAATACTCCAGTTAAAAGGCATAGAGTGGTGAGTTGAATAATGAAGCAAAACCCAACTGTATGCTGTCTTTAAGAGACCCATCTCACATGCAATGATACCCACAGGATGAAAATAAATGGATGGAGAAAAATCCATTAAGCAAATGAAAAACAGAAAAAAAAAAAAGCAGGCATTGCTATTCTAATTTCAAGCAAAACTGACTTTAAACCAACAAAAATTTTAAAAGATAAACAAAGAAAGGCATTGCATAATAGTAAAGGGTTCAATTCAACAAGAAGACCTAACTCCCTTAAATATATATGCATTCAACACAGGAGCACCCAGATTCATAAAGCAAGTTCTTGGAGACCTAGAAAGAGATTTAGATAACCACACAGTAACAGAGGGAGACTTCAACAGCCCACTGACTGTATTAGAAAGATCATCAAGGCAGAAAACTAACAAAGATATTTAGGACCTGAACTTGACACTTGACCAAATGGACCTAATAGACATCTACAGAACTCTCTATTCAAAAACAACAGAATATACATTCTTCTCATCTGCACATGGCAGATGATCTAAAATTGACCACATGCCCAACCATAAAGCAATCCTTTTCAAATTCAAAAAAACTGAAATCATACCAATCACACTCTTGGACCACAGTACAATAAAAATTGAAATCAATATTAAGAAAATTGCTCAAAATCATACAATCACATGGAAATTAAACAACTTGCTCCTGAATTACTTTTGGGTAAGCAATGAAATTAAGGCAGAAATCAAGAAATGGTTTGAAACTAATAAGAACAAAGATACAACATACCAGAATTTCTGGAATACAGCTGATGCAGTGTTAAGAGGGAAGTTTATGGTATTAAATGCCCACATCAAAGAGTTAGAAAGATCTTAAATTAGCAACCTAACATCACATCTAGAGAAACTAAAGAAACAAGAGCAAACCAACTCCAAAGCTAACAGAAAACAAGAAATAACCAAAACCAGAGCTGAACTGAAAGGAATTGAGCTATGAAAAACCATATAAAAGATTAACAAGTTTGGTTTGTTCATTATTTAAAAGAATAAATAAAATACATAGACTGCTCATACTAGACTAATAGAAAAAGAGAGAAGATCCAAATAAACACAATGAGAAATGACAAAGGGGACATTATCACTGACACCACAGAAATACAAAAAAAAATCTCAGGGACAACTAACATCTCCATGCACACAAACTAGAACCCTAGAAGAAATGAATAAATTCCTAGAAACATACAACCTCTCATGATTGAACCAGGAAGAAATTGAATCCCTGAGCAGACCAACAATGAGTTCCAAAATTGAATAAGTAATAAAAACCCTACCAACCAGAAAAAGCCCAGGACCAGATGGAGTCATAGCCAAGTTCTATCAGATATATAAAGAAGAGCTGGTATTATTCCTACTGGAACTATTCCAAAAAATTTAAAATGGACTGCTCTGTAACTCATTCTTTGAGATCAGCATCACCCTGATACTAAAACCTGACAGACAGACAGAAAGACACACACACACACACACACACACACACACACACGAGAAAACTTTAAGCCAATATTCTTGATGAACATAGATGCAAAAATCGTCAACAAAACACTAGCAAACCAAATCCAGCAGCACATCAAAAAGCTAATCCACCATGATCAAGTAGGCTTTTCCCTGGGATGCAAGGTTGGTTCAACATACGCAAATCAATAAATGTGATTCATCACATAAACAGAACTACAAACAAAACCATATGATCATCTCAATAGGTACAGAAAAGCTTTTGATAAAATTCAACATCCTTCATGTTAAAAACCCTCAACAAACTAGGCATCAAAGGAACATACTTCCAAATAATAAGAGCCAGCTATAAAAAACCCACAGCCAACATTATACTGAATGGACAAAAGCTAGAAGCATTCCCCTTGACATCCAGAACAAGACAAGGATGCCCAGTCTCACCACCCCTATTTTAACATAGTTCTGCAAGTCCTAGCCAGAGAAATCAGGCAAGAGAAAGAAATAAAGGGCATCCAAATAGGAAGAGAGGAAGTCAAATATCTCTGTTTGCAGATGACATGATTTTATAGCTATAAAACCCAATACTCTCTGCCTAAAAGCACATTAAACTGATAAACAACTTTTGCAAAGTTTCAGGATACAAAATTAATGTACAAAAATCAGTAGCATTTCCATACACCAACAACATCCAAGCTGAGAGCCAAATCAAGAATGCGATCCCAGTTACAATAACCATAAAAAGAATAAAATACCTAAAAATCCATTTAACAAGGGAGGTGTAACATCTCTAAAACAAGAATTTCAATACACTGCTCAAAGAAATCAGAGATGATATAAACAAATGGAAAATATTCTATGCTCATGGATAGGAAGAATCAATGTTGTTAAAATAGCCATACTGCTCAAAGCAATTTACAGATTCAATACTATTCCTATCTAACTACCAATGACATTCTTCACAGAATTAGAAAAAAACTTTTTTAAAATTCATATGGAACCTGTCTACAGCCATACCACCCTGAATGTGTTTACTCTTGTCTGATCTTCGAAGCTAACATTCATATAGAACCAAAAAAAAAAAAACAATCCAAATAACCAAGGCAATTCTAAGCAAAAAGAACAAAGCTGGAGGTATCACATTACCTGATGTCAAAAACAGACACATAAATCAATAGAACAGAATAGGGAGCCCAGAAACAATGCTACATACTTACAACCATCTGTTTTTGACAAAGTCGACGAAGACAAACAATGGGGTCTGAAATCCCTGGTCAATAAATAATGCTGGGATAACTGGCTAGCCATATGCAGAAGATTGAATCTGGACCCCTTCTTTTCACCATATACAAAAATCAACTCAAGATGGATTAAAGATTTAAATGTAAAACCTAAAACCATAAGAACCCTGGACGATAGACTAGGAAATATGATTCTGGACATAGACCCTGGCAAAGATTTCATGATGATGACACTAAAAGCAATCACAACAAAAACAAAAATTGACAAACGGGGCCTAATTAAGCTAAAGAGCTTCTGCACAGCAAAAGAAAGTATCAACAGAGTAAACAGGCAACCTACAGAAAGGGAGACTCTATTTGCAAACTATGCATCCAATAAAGGCCTAATATCCAGAATTTATAAGGAACTTAAAACAAGCTAACAAGGAAAAAACACACAGGTGCATGAAAAGGCAGGCAAAGGACTTGCACAGACACTTTTCAAAATAAGCCATAAATGAGGCCAGTAAATATATGAAAATATGCTCAACATCACTAATTATGGAGAAATGCAAATCAAAACCACAGTGAGATGTGGTTTCATCTCATACCAGTCAGAATGGCTGTTATTAAAATGTCAAAAAATGACAGATGCTGAAGAGGTCACAGAGAAAGGAGAAAGCTTATATGCTGCTCATGGGAATGTAAATTAGTTCAGTCATTGTGGAAAGCGTTTTGGTGATTTCTTCAATAACTTAACATAAAATTACCATTTGACCCAGCAATCCCATCACTGGGTATATACCCAAAGGAATATAAATTGTTCTACCATAAAGACACATGTATGCATATGTTTGTCACAGCTCTATTCACGTAGCAAAGACGTGGAATCAACCTAGATGCCCATCAATGGTAGACTGGATAAGGAAAATATGGTACACATACACCATGAAATACTACACAGCCATAAAAAAGAACTAAATTATGTCCTTTTCAACAACATGGATGAAGCTGGAGGCCATTATCCTAAGTGAACTAATACAGGAACAGAAAACCAAATACTGCATATTTTCACTTATAAGTGGGAGCTAAACATTGAGTACACATGGACACAAAGAAGGGAACAACAGACACCGGGACCTACTTGAGGGTGGAGGGTGAGGATCAAAAAACTACGTATCAGGTACTATGCTTATTACTTCAGTGACAAAATAATCTGTATACCAAATCCTTGTGACACCCTTGTGATTAAATTATAAATTATAAAGGCTATGAGTTGAGAAAGACAATATTTCTTCCCTTATACATAATGTTCAAGTTGCTGAATGACTGACCAGGATATTTCACCAGAATTTAGATTGAAACAAAAAAGGCTGGAAGTTTCAGGGACAGAATTAAGAATTTGGCTATGAGATAGTAAATGTTAAGGCTATGATTAAAGAATATCTAAGCAGGCAAAGATCCAAATCAAGAATATTAACAAAGACAGGTTGGAGTTGGCAAGTTCCTTGGAATCTAATTAGAAATCAGGTAGGTCAGTTATCTGGGAGGACTTAAAGCCATGCTGGAAGACAGAGGCTGAAAATTAGAGTTTCTGGGCAATGCAAGATCAGAAAATCAAGCCAAAAAGCAACGCTCAGATTCCAAGTAGGTGGCTTTAGTAACAGGCATGGGAAATCAACAATATAAATGAGGTTTATTATTGAGCTAAAGATTCAGTGAGCCTAGGGCTTTCTATGTGTTTAGCCCAGGGCTGGAATTTGTCTCATAGCAAGAGACTGGCATGAAATTTCAGATACCTTTCACTTGGATGAAGAACTAAGAGAATGAAGAATAAGGCAATTCTTGATGTAGGGATCCAAACTCTAGGTATATTAGACTTTCTTGAGCTAATTTATGAGCATGATAGAGTTTTAGCAAATACAGGATTATAAAATTGTCAAATTAGGATCTCTTAAAATCAATAGTTGGGTCAATTTCATGGAGACTCTGATATGACATTTTTACTTTGGTAGAATTAAATGTTGCTGACTAGTCTTGTGTCTTCAAAAGGATAATGCACAATCTAAATTATTGCTGAAAAGCTGAAATAAGACATTTGGTTTCACATGTGAGAATATGGAGTTTTGCTCTTAGGCACTAGATCTGAGGGGACAAACCCTTCAACCCAAGAGGTTGAGCTACCTTGGGTCATAACAGCCACTGTGATTGCTGCTATGAGAAAAAAGCAATCAGTATGCAGGAATAGGCAGTATAATTAGTTCTCTACATCAACATACAGAGATACTCAAGCTTTTTAACAGACACTGAACTCATTTACACCCAAATCTGCTTATGTACCTCAATGTCGGATTGAAGTCTACCAGAGTTTCCACAGAAATCTCTATCTTACCCAAATTTTACTTACTCCTGAAATTTCATTATCATTAAAAAATATATAAAATGCTAGTTTTTAAATTTAGATTTATAAAAAGAGGTAGAAATAGATTTTTTCCATCCATGCATAGTTAAAATTATAGAGTGAACTCTAATTAATACATATGTGATTAACAGATAAAATTTAACTTGTTCTGCTATGGCCAGCATAAAAAACATAGTCATCTGAACAAGCAGTATAGATGAAGAGATAATTCTATAAGAAAATAAATAGAAAAAGATTCCTAAAAGAAAAAAAGAAAAAGAAGAAGAAATCTAAAGTAAAGGGGTAAAATCACAAATGGGATTTCAGACAAGCAGAAGTGTTCCAGGCAATGAAGGATGATTGAAGACTTGAACTAAAAACAGATTCAACCGACAAGAAATACATTTTGTGAAGAAGGACAGATGTAATGGCTTGGGGGGAGAAAGGAAGTAAGCAATGGAGCAGTGAACAGGAAAGAGTGACTCAGCTATGCAGTCACAGAGAGGTGATCTAAGAAAAGATGAGGTTGGAAAGCACAAAATGAAGGAAAAGAGACTGACTTTGCAAGTCAAGCAGGAAATTTCAAATTAGTTTCAGAATTTGATTAGAAATAAAATGGTAGCTGATAGATAATTAGCCCTACCTTATTCTTAAAATTCTTAAGGTTGGAAGAGGGGAGTTGGCAATAAACTAGGGAAAAACTCAAAGAAATTAACAACTGTCTACACGTAAGAAAGCCTAAGTAGGCAAAGATTTGAAGAAGGGACAACTCATCAATCACCTAATTTATTTATTTTAAATTTATTGTTTATTACCATTATTATTAGAGATAGGGTCTCACTGTGTCACCAGGCTGGAATGCAGTGGTGTAATCATAGCTCATGACAGCCTCGAACTCCTGGGCTCAAGTAATTCTCCTGTCTCAGTCCTGAGGAGCTGACACTACAAGTGAGAGTTACCACGCTAGCTAATCACCTAATTTAGCATTTTCAGTATGCAAAGTACTTTGGCATGGGTCATAGCCTTAGGTTCAAGCCTTGGTTTCACCTCCTACAATATCATCTCATGAAGTTCTTGGCTTATTTGAGCAAAATAATCTTCATCTATGAAGTGAGGGTAACATATATTTAATAGAATATCATCAGAAATACATCCAATAAATCGTGCTAATGTTCTGGATAAACTGATGCTTACTGTTATTGAAAAATAAAAGCAGGTGGCCGGGCACTGTGGCTCAAGCACTTTGGGAGGCCAAGGCAGGCGATCACGAGGTCAGGAGATCAAGACCATGCTGGCTAACACGGTGAAAACCCATCTCTACTAAAAATACAAAAAAATTAGCTGGGCGTGGTGGCGGGTGCCTGCAGTCCCAGCTGCTCGGGAGGCTGAGACAGGAGAATGGCGTGAACCCGGGAGGCGGAGCTTGCAGTGAGCAGAGATGGACTCCAGCCTGGGCGACAGAGCGAGACTCCGTCTCAAAAAAAAAACAAAAAGAAAACTAAAAGCAGGTATTTCTTTTAGAGTATTTTTAAGCAAAAGGGGAAACTACTTAGAGAAATTGAGTCCTATGCCCATAAGAAAATAGTGACAGAGCTGACATTCACCCAAGGCATACAGCTATAGAGGCTATGATTCTAAACGATTTGTGTATACTGCCTCAGTCCCTGATTTCAGGGAATTTACAATCTACTTTGAGGTAAAATACATGGAATACTGAATAATAAGACAAAAAACTTATCACAAAGGAGACTGTGATCCCATATTAGATGACTGTTAGAGACAGGGAACTTTATCCTGGGATAGTGTTAGAAGACCTCTTAGAAGAGAAAAAACATTTATAATAATGATTGGAATTGGCCGGGCGCGGTGGCTCACGCCTGTAATCCCAGCACTTTGGGAGGCCGAGATGCGTGGATCACAAGGTCAGGAGACCGAGACCATCCTGGCTAACACGGTGAAACCCTGTCTCTACTAAAAATACAAAAAATAAGCCGGTAGTTGTGGCGGGCGCCTGTAGCCCCAGCTACTCGGGAGGCTGAGGCAGGAGAATGGCGTGAACCCGGGAGGCGGAGCTTGCAGTGAGCCGAGATCGCGCCACTGCACTACAGCCTGGGCGACGGAGCGAGAATCCGTCTCAAAAAAAAAAAAAAATAGAATGGTTGGAATTGGCTAATAAGAATGATGAATAAAAATAGAAGAACAGGAAAACAATGAGGCAAAAAAAAGCATAGATATTAAGATTACTTAGTCCCATTTATGTTAAAGAAAAAGCTCAAAAATAAACTTTAATAAAATTATAAATACTGCTTTCATTAAGCTATATAATAATTATTAGTATTTATTTCTATTGAATATAGTAAATAATTATTCAATTCCAACATTAGACCTTAGGTCCTAAAATTGTCTTTATTTACTATTTGAAGGATATTTTGAAACAAATGATTCTGGGATACACCAACCAGAAACCAAAAAATCAATAAAAGAAAATGTAAACCACAATAAATAAACCATAATTTTTAATAAAGTATTTTATATTTAGACAAAAATAACACTATTAGTAAATAATCTTATTTTAGAATATTACTTCCTGCTTTTAATGCTTATTTCAGATTTAAAGTTTAACAAAATTATATTCAGTTTCAAAAAGACTTGTGTTTCTTGGCCTTGAAAGAAATTATAAAAAGAAAGTTTTAATCTTAAGACTTTTTTATACTATTAAAAAAACTGTTAAGCCTTACTACAAAATAGTCTTACAAAGTATAAAAACTGCATTGTATAATCTGTATTTATTTTGTGGGAATTTTGAAAAGTCAAAAGTCAAACTGGGCCAGGTGCGGTGACCCACCCCCATAATCCCAGCACTTAGGGAGGCCGAGGTGGGCAGATCACCTGAGGTCAGGAGTTCGAGACCAGCCTGGCCCACATGGTGAAACCCCATCTTTACCAAAAACACAAAAGTCAGCCGGACATAGTGGCGGGCGCCTGTAATCCCAGTACTCAGGAGGCTAAGGCAGGAGAATCAACTGAACCTGGAAGGCAGAGGTTGCAGCGAGCCGAGATTGCACCACTGCACTGCAGCCTGGGGGACAGAGTGTGACTCTGCCTCAAAAAAAAAAAAAAAAAGTCAAACTGGAAATACAAATATAAAATACCATTAAAAAAAATAGGAATCTGTCTCTATGTTAAAATTAAGTTTACCAAAACTTTAAGGTGCTTTTAGGCAGCAAACGTCTGGAATAAATTCCTGCTCACTTTATCTCTCTGCACCCTTCTTCTTTGCTCTTTTGGCTCCTGTCCAAAATGTGAGCTGTGAATATTATCTCTGTGTACTACAAGAGTGAGAAATATTGTTCAAGATGGTCTCTGGGCATCTTTTGATTTAGACCTTACTATATTATGACCAACATATTTTTTCCACTAAAACATTTCTTATGAAAATGCATACAATATAGGGCAGGAATAATACATATCACTATTAAAACCATGATTAACATTCATGATCAGCTTAGCTATGTATTTTCCTGGCAGGACTTACTTCCCTAGAGGACTTATTTATGGGAATGGGAAGTTAGAGAAGACCCTGTCATGACTTATGTATTAGTTCGGATACTTAAGTAACAAGCAACAGAAACCAAACCTGGCTAACTTAAGTAAAAGAAAACATGATATGAGCATCATAGGACCTAAGAGAGAGCTGAAGAAAAGGGATGGGAAAAGTGAAACCAGATAACCCCCAAAGGTCTTTCTAATTCCACATGACCACCACTGCTCAGATATGAACCTGAATTTTCATCACGTCAAGAATACAGATAATGAAGCAGAGTTAACATAAAAAGAGCAAAAGCAAGGTACCATTAGGAAAAAAAAAAACAAGATTTGAGTAGCAAATAATAATAATAAACAGCCACAATAGAGAGTCTTTATGGAAGGTTCTCAAAGGCAGCAGACCTGGCTAACTCCTTAGTTACTATTTGAGCAATGGTGAAAATGACTGAATATAAAATATACTAACCAGAAACCAAAATTTAATAAAAACTGTATGCCAAATAAAGACAATAGTATTTTTAAAAATTACAACAGTATTTTTTTTAATTAATGGATAGACCAAAAAAAAAAAAATACTATTGGATAAGAGCACAGACTCTTGTGCCAGCTTCATTTTGCAACCCTGAAAGAGCTACTGAATCTCAAATGATTTATGTAACTTTTTGTACCAAAAATGTTGTTTTCATCCTGCCAGACAAGGCAATATTCCTGAGATGAGTGGTATATGTCACACTTAAAAATTGCTCTACAAACTTGGGGTACAACCCAAACTTGGGGTCACTTCTTTTTTATTTTCCCAATTGATTGCTTAAGCACGTGCCTGCCATTTTAGTAGTAAGTTCAACATTTTTCTTTGAGCTCCACCTTTCCCCTGAATTTTCCAAAATCCCTGGCTTTACCCAGTAGAAGAGAGGTTCATTCTGCCTTTTGCACTCAAGCAGAAAGGCAGCTGGTTCCACAGTTGCTTCTTTCTGCTACATGGTGTTGCTGTTGACAGCTGGTCCTATAGCCTGGCAGATAGTGAATATCTAGCGGTAACACACACCCCTGCTTAGGCTGTGCAGGTCATGAGGAAGGATGAGCTGATTCATCAGGGGTTAAACTCCGCTGAAATTGCCCGATACTTGGTTCCCAGGGTCTCATAGGACTGTTTCCATTCTCTACCACATTAAGTACTTAAAGACACAGAATCACTCTTTCTTCCCTCCCTAAAGATCTGGGAGTGTTTTTCTTTGAAATCCCCCAGATCCAAATGTTCTGATTACATCCTTTTCCCTCTGATAAGGGGGCTTCTCAAATATTTTCCTAAGGAGCAATACCCTCAGTGTCTCCTGGGCATTACCCGCTCCCACCCTCCTTTTGCACACACTTCTGAAGGACAGCATTCAGTGTCTTCAAGGTGATTCATTGGCCTAAAGAAATTCCCCAGATAATGAAGATAATAACTTACAATTTCTCTATTGAGTCCATATTGTCTTTGAAATCAGTATAGGCACAATTAGTTTGTTTTATATGTAATGCCACACAATCCTCATCCGTGAGTACCCATGCTAATTAAGTTGTGTGAACTTTTCAGTCACTTCTTGTTGCATGCAGAAAATAATCCATGGGTTATAAAACCCAATGTGATTTGGCTTTCTGAATCTTATCTCATACTGTGTAACCCCTTGCCCCACTAACATTAGCCTTTTTCTTCCTTGAATGTGCCAAGCTCACATCCTGCTAATTGCCTTGAACTTGATGTTCCCTCTGAAGACTTTCCCATGGCTGGTTCTAACTCTTCACTTCCCTTTTCTTGTTTTTAACTTTTAATTTTTGTCAGTACATACTAGGCATATATACATATGGGGTACATGAGATGTTTTGATACAGGCATGCAGTGTGTAGCAATTACATCATGCAAAATGGGGTATCCATCTCCTCAAGCATTTATCCTTTGTGTTATAAATAATACAACTATACTCTTTTAATCATTTTAAGTGTGCAATTAAATTATTGTTGACTAGAGTCACCCTGTTGTGCTAGCAAACACTAGGTCTTATTCATCCTTTCTAGATATTTTTTGTACCCACTAACCATCCCGGCTTCCCTCTCAACCCCAACTACCCTTCCCAGCCTCTGATAAACATCCTTATACTCTGTCTCCATGACTTCAATTGCTTTGATTTTTAGATCCTACAATGCATAAGAACATGTTATGTTTGTCTTTCTGTGCCTGGCTTATTTCACTTAGCATAATTACCTGCAGTTCTATCCATGTTGTTGCAAATGATAGGATGTCTTTTTTTTCAATGGCTAAATAGTACTCCATTGTGTACATGTACCACATTTTCTTTATCCATTTATCTGTTGATGGACACTTAGGTTGCCTCCAAATCTTGGCTAGTGTGAACACTGCTGCAACAAACATGGGAGTGCACATATCTCTTTGATATACGGATTCCCCTTTCTTTTGGATACATACCCAGCAGTGGGATAGATGGATCATATGATAACTCTATTTTTAGTTTTTTGAGGAACCTCCAAACTGTTCTCCACGGTGTTTGTACTAATTTACATTTCCACCAACAGTGTATGAGGGTTCCCTTTTCTCCATATCCTCATCAGCATTTGTTATTGCTTGCCTTTTGAATAAAAGCCATTTTAACTGGGGTGAGATGATATCTCACTGTAGTTTGATTTGCATTTTTCTGATGATCAGTGACATTGAGCACCTTTTTATATGCCTGTTTGACATTTGTATGTCTTCTTTTAAGAAATGTCTATTCAGATATTTTGCTCATTTTTTAATCAGATTATTAGATTTTTGCCTGTAAGTTGTTTGAACTCCTTATATATTCTGTTTATTAATCCCTTGTCATATGGGTAGTTCACAAATATTTTCCCTCATTCTGTGGGTTGTCTCTTCACTTTGTTGATTGTTTCCTTTGCTGTGCAGAAGCTTTTTAACTTGGTGTGATCCCATTTATCCATTTTTGCTTTAGTTGCCTATGCTGGAATTTTTGCCCAGACCAATGTCCTGGAGAGTTTATCCAATGTTTTCTTATAGTAGTTTCATAGTTTGAGGTCTGAGATTTCAGTCTAATCCATTTGATTTGATTTTTGTATATGGTGAAAGATAGGGGTTTAGTTTCATTCTTCTGCATGTAAATATCCAGTTATTCCAGCACCATTTATTAAAGAGACTGTCTTTTCCCCAGTGTATATTCTTGGTACTTTTGTCAAAAATGAGTTCACTGTAGATATGTGGATATGTTTCTGGGTTCTCTATTCTGTTTCATTGGATTATGTATCTATTTTTATGCCAGTACCGTGCTGTTTTGGTTACTATAGCTCTGTAGTAAAATTTCAAGTCAGGTAATATGATTCCTCCAGTTTTGTTCTTTTTGCTTAGGATAGCTTTGGCTATTCTTGGTCTGTTGTGGTTCCATATAAATTTTTGGAATTTTTTTCTGTTTCTGTAAAGAATGTCATTGGTATTTTGATAAGGATTACATTGAATCTGTGGAGTGCTTTGGGTAGTAGGAACATTTTAACAATATTGATTCTTCCGATCCATGAACATGGAATATTTTTTCCATTTTTTGGTGCCCTCTTCAATTTCTTTCATCAGTCTTTTATAGTTTTGTAACAGATCTTTCACTTCTTTGGTTAACTCCAAGGTATTTAATTTTATTTGTGGCTACTGTAAATGGCATTACTTTATATTTTCTTCTCTGATTGTTCACTATTGGCATATAGAAATGCTACTGAGGGGGTTCTGTCTCTCAGCTTTGGAGCCCCCCTCCCTCTGTCTCTCTACAGGGGAGCTTCTTCTTTTTTTCTTCCCCCTTCTTTCTTGCCTATTATACTCCCTGCTCCTTAAAACTGCTCCTCCTGTGCCTGTGTCGTTTTTTCTAATTCAACTCGAGATGAAGATCCTGGCATTCCTCCACTCATCAGAGCCATATCTTTTGGTGCATTGGTTCGGAATCTGAGGTACAGCCTTCATCGGAGTGGTGAGTATGGGAGCAAGCTTAAAATCTGTTCTATCATTCCGAAGTGCTCTTTGCCTCTATATTTAAATAAATCCAATAAATCAGTGGGCATTGGTCAGCCTAGTACATATGCTTAGCGTTGGCTGCTGTACTTAAGTCATGGATGTGAGGCTTGCTGGGGAGAACGTGGAGAACCCCCATTACCCATGGGTATTGGGAATGTTGGCCATGTTTGAACTAGTTTCTTTTCATGGGGAACCTTGCCATTGCACGAGGCTGGGAAAAGTTCAGAGGCAACTGAGAATTTCTGGCCAGGGCACACCCTGGTGTGATTCAAAGGCCTCTGGACCAGACACAGCCTCTGACAGCCCATCCTGGGTTTTGGCAGAGAACCTCAACTGTCCTGTCCCATAACTCTTCTTCCTTCTCTATCCGCAGCCTCTTACTGTTTCTCTGTGTGAAATGTGCAAGGATTTTTACAGTCTGGGAATAGAGTTTTCCCGTTTTCCCCTACAGTAAGTTTACTTGCTACCATTTCTCTGGCAAGCACATAGCATTTCTAAGCCAACAACATCACCTCATGGAAGTAAATAAGAATCTAGGCTCTTCTGGGAACAGGAGGTTTCTGCCTTTAGCAGTTAGGAGTAAAATGTCTTCCATAGCCAAATTTTAGTCTTAATATTGTCCCACTGGCAGGGAAACGGCTATTTGGTTCCTAAGTTCCTTTAAGGAATCAATTTTGTCTCCTATTAAGAGAGTACTTAATTAGTAAGGGATTTTAAGTCCGGAAGTTAACCGGAACCATTTTTTAATGGGTAAATGCTTTAGCATGGCCTATAATAGCAGGATATAGAATTCAGTCTAGCGCGCCCTCTCCCTTAAAGGGGTCTTGCCCAATTACGTGGCTTTTCTTGAAATTCATTGTTTTGAAAGGCACAAGGCAACACAACTCTAGAAGGTCAAAGGGAAATAAAAGGCAGAGAACTGATTGCTTGGGGACAGCACGACTAAGGTCCAAACTCAGTTCCTCTGGTGCCATGGCTTGGAGGGTCACACCTGCAGTCATGGGCGGCACATTTAAACGGGTGCTGGGAATCCAGGAAAGAAGGAGAGAAAATAGTTGGGGGAACGGATGCCTCCTACTACTTTCTCCTCCATCCTGGATCACATACTGAAAGGAAAGAGACTAAAAGGACGCTTTTCTTCTCACTTCTTTTTCTAGATGGGTAGCAGATCGTCTTCAACATGTACTCCCCTGGAGTGTATTTTGAAGCACTGGGACTCCTTCAATCTTGAAACTTTGAAGAAAAAGTGGCTTATTTTCTTTTGTGGCCATATCGGGCAGGCCCAGGGAAAATAGTTGCTCAAAATTAAAAAAGGGAACTTTCAGGGAAATCATCTGAGGGTCCCCCTTATTTGGGGCCCCTTCATGTTCTCTTCTCATTGCAGGACATTAGGCAAGTAGAGGGAGACTTGGGTCATTTTTCTGATGACCCTGATAGGTGTATAGAAGCTTTCCAAAATTTAACTCAGGTATTTGACCTCTCACGCAGGAATGTTATGCTGCTCCTAAGCCAAACCCTAACTACGGTTAAAACAGGCAGCTCTGACAGCAGGAGAAAATTTTGGTCATGAGCAATATGCCTCCTGTAGTAGGCCAAAAGGGAAAAGAGAAAATAGGGAAGGCAAAGAAATAGGAGAAACACCATTCCCAATAGGAAAAGAGGCAATAACTCTTAAAAACCCTAATTGGAACTCCTTTTTGTGGTGTTTTTCCTTCTTTCATGGGTTAAAATGGTTTTTATCTCTTTTATAATGCTCTTCCAACCTGGGAGAAGTTAAGTTTCCAAACCTTAAAAATGCTTGGCTTAGAGTTGAGCTGGGGGAAGGGAACCCAGAAGCCTGACATGCTGGCAAAAGGGTAAAAATTTCTTACCATTAGGGCTTTTGGCTTCTCTTTACCTGTGCAAACTGGTAAAAGGGATAAGATTAGAAACCAGGCCCAGGATCCCATGGGCCTGCTCTTCAAGCCAACTCAGCAAGATGATCAGTAACGAACTTGACCACAGGCCTCCATCTTATTTCATGTCCTTGGGAACATAATCTGTAACCATGTGGCAATACTTTGTTTTAGTCTCAGCCATTTTTCAACAGGAAGTAGCCTCTTCTTGTGCTAAATCAGATAAGCCAGTTTGTCAATCTGGGTGGTGCCAGCTGATCCATCAAGGGCAGGGTTTACAAAATATCTTAAGCACTGATCTTGAGAGCAGTTTAGGGAGGGTCAAAAATCTTGTAGCCTCCAGCTGCATGGCTTCTGGGCCATGGTTTCTAATCTTGTGCCTAGTTCATTGGTCTGGTCCCCAGGAAAAAAGGAAATGTATCTTGGGAAGTGCCTGTTATCATCTTTGTTTTAGACTATGAACTGTAAACCAGGCTCCTCCCAAAGTTGCTTCAGCCTATGCCCAGGATGGGCAAATACAGCTTAGGGGTTGGAAACAAAATGGAATTGTTTGGGTCCAATCTCTTCCACTGTCACAAATTTGCAATGACAGTTTCAAAACCTGCCTATCACACCTTTAAAAATACCTTGTACAATTGTGGTTAAGTCATAACTTAATTAAGCCTTGTTGGTTTCACCTGTGAGGTTATTTTTTGTAAAATTCAAAAGCCAAAAATCTTAACTGCTTGGCGTGGCTAAAGTCAAGTAACAAGGGATTTAAAAGGATTTTCTTAAAGAATGCTTAGCTTAATTAAGAGTGGATATTCATGTTATAGGCATATTTAAAAGGCCTTTATGTTTTTCTCTTCTTGGATCTTGTTTTTCTGGAAAAAGGCTCTTCTCAGTTGACTGAATTATTTTTCTCCATTTTTTGTCTTATCACTCTTAATGCATGCATAAGAGGCCCTAAAGTAACTTCTGGTAGTATGGGACTCCTGGAGAAAAACAGAGGAGATGCAACAGACTCCAGACCCTGATTTGGGAAAAAAACCTCTGTTTTCCTCACGAAAACCCAGGAATTAAAAGGAGATAGATCCCTCTCAAAATCAAAGGCTCTGTTCTGTTTTGCATTGTGTTATCTGACAGTTTTCAGTTTTGGGGGTATCAGAAATTACTTCGCATTATGAGAGAGCTTTGGTGTGTAATAACTAGGTAGAAAATACACTGTAAGGGATGGCTATTAGTAGTTATAAATCAGAGAAGCATGTTCTTGGCCATCTGGAAAATAGGGAAACATCCCCACCCATGACTGGGAGATGAGAGTCCCATCAGGGATGGGCTGATTACAAAATAAGCCAATTAACTTTGGGTTGCCTTGCAATGAAATCCATGGTAAAGGCACTATACTGTCCTCTCCCATAGTATCTATATGGTCTTTTCATAAATTGAGCATTGAAATAAAAGCATAGCAAGGAGGGCTTTAAGACATTAATCTGCCCTTCAGTACAAGGGTTATAAAAGGTTTGTAAAGATTTCACCTCATCGTCAAATTGATTAAAATAAAAAGAAATGATCTATAAGGTTTCATTTAAACAAACTGGGGTTAACATTAATAAACTAATGCGAGGGTAAAATTTGGCTTTGAACAGGATTTTCATGTCATAGTAAAGGCTAATGAAAGGTTTTTGCCTTTTGAGTAATCATTTTGGCAAAATAATTTATGGCAATCTGGAAATTGTCCTTCCTGATGCCTGGCTTTTTAGATGGATCAGAGTGTCCCTGAAACATTTAAAAAAGAAATAAACAGGATTATTTGACATATTTAGTCACGTGAGATTGCCAAAATGATGTTCAGTCTTCTTTAAGTTATATTTTGGTGAATAATACTAATATATGTTCAAATATTGTATGGAATTTCTAAAATTCTAATGTCTAAGTATACGCTATCAATCATAATTAAGGGTAAAGTTATTGTAAACCACGGAGATAAACAAACTTCTTTGTCAGTCATGTTTTTAACTGTTAACTATCCTGGAAATGTTGCCATTCACAGACAATTGTTGTCTTGCTTTGTACCTTCTCAAAAGATGGTTTATAATCAAGCCATATTAAGGACTTTAACAGGTGTTCTCAAATGCAGGTTTTTAATAGCTTTGAAGATTGTAACACTGGAATAAAGAATGTACAGGACTCCTAAAGAACTGACATGTTCACAAATATCAAGCAAAACAAGAGTTAACTAAGTGGACTCTACTCAAAAAGTTTAAGCAACCTTTTCAACTTTTCCTTGGAATATTGCTGATCCTTATTTTGTTTTTCAGAGTCAAGGAAACTTATTTTAAACTATTTATGGCCTTTAATAATTGAGTAAGGTATACTACTGTGAATAAAATTTGGGGCATGTTCAATTTTTCTCTGCCTGGTTCCTCTAAAATTTGGAGACTACCTGTAAGTACTCTTAACCTATGGCAATATACTTGATCGCAACAGTGCAATAAGAATCCATTTTTCTTTGTCAACAGGACACAATTGGAAAAACTGGTTATTTTACCAAGGCTTTAACTGAAACGGTGTGTTTCCCTTTAAGGAATCAAGCTTGACATGCAAAGCCAATAAAAGCCCCTTGGGGAAAACCGGCCTCATACCTTGTCTACACAGTCCCCACACAGGATTCCTAACCTGTGGTCAGTAAAGAGTGTCACTTTCTAACAGGTCTGGGAGCTCTGAGTTTATCTTGGGACCTCCAGAGGAGAGGATTACTCAGCTCACAGGTACTAGAGAATACAAACCCATGGTTGGGCTCAGCTTTAAAGGTCTTATCTGAGATTCCTTGTGAAACAGAGTTTCATCAAAGCCAATCCAAAAGGCCTATGTAAAAATAACCATTCTTGCTGCACTTTATGCAAATAATCAGGCCAAGTATAAAACTGAAGTTTATTCATAATTAGTTTTTACCAAAAATGGGACCGGAGAGAAAAAATTTGCTTCAAAGCTTATCATACGTTTGTCATTAAATCCTAGTCATTAATTGTTTTTAAGCTGCTTGCCTGCATTTTAGACTAACCCTGCTTATTCCTGTGAATCAAGTGGCGATCTCCTGAAGCTTGGAAGAAACAAGAAGGAATGGGTAACGTAAATATCCGGATCAATATACTAGTTCTGGCAATTATCTTTCAAACTCTGCCAGGTAATGAAAGTGAATAGGGTGCCCATAACCCAAAGATTTATTTTTTTAGGAAAATAAAACCAAGAAACTTCATAGACCCCCTGCAAAGGAAAATTCTATATCTTGGCAAGTAAATTTTTAAATGGAAATTATTTACTACACCACACTTGTGGGAATTGTTATACTCACTCGACTATTTGCAATAGGGTTATACACGGTAGCACCTTCTAACTAAAATATTGGACAGAGAGTTTCCATTGCTGTCATATTTTGCTTAATTATTAACCTTATAACCGGGATAATAGTTACTAACAAAAATGAAGCATAAAAGTTTTACTATCATTAAGTCTGCCAGGACTTTTTATTGAATTTACTGATGCACTTTTAAATGAAACATGCTGCTTTTGGATTAACACCTCCAGTAAAGTAAAGGAAAATCTACAAGTACTTAAAAATCAAATCAAAATTATTAACAGGCTCAGGGAAAATGCCGACTCCAGCCCTGGGTGGCTACAATCCCTCTTTAATGAATTCCAGTCTTCTTTATGGAATTGGTTAGTCACTTTATTAAGCCCTCTCTTGCTTATATGTCTTGTATTAATATTTAGACCTTGTATACTCAATACTGTAACTTGAATTGTTTCTTCTCGCCTAGAAGCAATCAAACTCCAAATGGTGCCGCAAACTGAACCACACATGGACATGCCATTCTTCCAAGGACCCTTAAATCAACCCCAGGAGGAGCCCTAGCTGCTGTTCCCCATTTGACACCCCTTTTCAGCAGGAAGTAGCCAGAAAGAGTCATCGCCCAAAACCCCCTAACAGCAGTCAGTGTGGCATCTCCACAGGGAGGAATGTTGTAAGAGTTAATAAGAAATTTTTAAGAAATTATTTTAGGCAGATAGAAAAAGCGGTCTTGGGAAGTTTTCATTTTTTAAAGCATCTCCGGAAAGGTTTCTTGTAAAGCCCCGGCTCTTAGAGCCAGGCCAGCAACCTTTAATATGCAAATGCCAGCTGTTAGAAACTGGGTCCACCCAACATGGAGATTCCCACGGCCTTCTTGCCCTTGCCCCACATGTTCCTGACAACATGGCTTCCCTCACGTATCCCCACGTGTGGAGAACATCATGGCGCCCTCCATTTGCAATATTAAAAGGTTAGGGTGAAAGGGCCAGCTTTTTCACCTGCTATGTGAATGACATGCCTAGTCAAACCAATCCCCTGAGCCGTATGAAAAACAGACACCACCTCCTCCAGCCTCTGCATATGGGCAATGGTAGGTGGGGTTCTGTCTGTCGGCTTTGGAGCCCCCAACCCTCTGTCTCTGTACAGGGGAGCTTCTTATTTTTTCTTCCCCCTTCTTTCTTTCTTTCTTGCCTATTAAACTCCCTGCTCCTTAAAACTAAAAAAGAAAAGAAAGAAAGAAATGCTATGCTACTGATTTTTGTATGTTGATTTCATATCCTGCAACTTTACTGAATGTGTTTACCAGTTCTAATAGTTTCTTCATGGAGTCCTTTTTTTTTTTTTTTGAGATAGGGTCTCGCTAGTGTCACCCAGGCTGGAGTATAGTGGCCCAATCTCGTCTGGTAGGGCAGGGTCCTTTCCTTCAAGGTAGCAGGTTCCCTTCTGGCCCAGAGTGTGTCTAGAAATGTCATCTGGGAGCTAGGACCTGGAAAAGGGGCTTCATGATTCTGACCAGTGCCCTACCCTTCTGTGGCTGAGCTGGTATCAAAGATGCAAAATAAAGTCCTCCCCACTTTTCCCTCTCCTCTTCTCAAACAGGAGAATGTCTCTTGGAGCTCTGAGCTGTGCAGACTGGACTTAGGGGAGGAGTAATGCCAGCACTCCTTTGGCTGCCCCAGCTAGTGTCTCAGTATGTCACATGTAACCCCAGTCCACTGTCTCTGGGCCAAGTGCTCTAGGACTTGCCTAAGAGCTGCAGTCCTTATGGTCTAGACTGCCTTTCAGGTTTACTTAGAGAGTGGGGGCACTTTGGCCCTCAGTGGCAAGGTTTGTGGGAACTCAAGTCCAGAGGGATCTGTGATGTCCCTCTGGCTACAGCTGGTTTAAATGCTCTGTCTGTGGGTAGACATCAAGTGAGTTTGGTCTAACAGGACAGCACTGAGTTCAATGCCTTACAATTGCTATTTCAAGAAAATTTTCAATTTCCTATTTAATTTCTCCATTGACCCACTGGTAATTCAGGAGCATACTGTTTAATTTCCATGTATTTGTATAGTTTCCAACATTCCTCTTGTTATTGATCTTTAGTTTTATTCCATTGTAATCAGAGAAGATGCTAGATAATTCAACTTTTTTAATGCTTTAAGACTTGTTTTGTGACCTAACATATGATCTATCCTTGAGAATGATTCATGCGCTGAGGAAAAGAATGTTTATTCTGCAGCTGTTGAAGGAAATGTTCTGTAAATATCTGTTAAGTTTGATGCTTCTTTTTTGATTTTCTGTCTCGAAGATCTGTTCAATGCTGAAAGTGAAGTATTGATGTCTCCAGCTATTATTATATTCAGGTCTATCTCTCTCTTCAGCTGTAATAATATTTGCTTTACATATCTGGGTGCTCCATTGTTGGGTAAATATATATTTACAATTACATCCTCTTGCTGAACTGACCGCTTTATCATTATATAGTAGCCTTTTTTGTCAATAGTTTTGGTCTTGAATCTATTTTGTCTGATATGAGTATAGCTACTCCTTCTTTTGTTTGATTTCCATTGGCATGGAATATCTTTTTCTATCCTTTTATTTTCAGTCTATGTGTGTCTTTATAGGTGAAGTGTGTTTCTTGTAGGCAACACATCATTGGGCATTGTTTTTTCATCCATTCAGCCAGTCTATGTCTTTTGATTGGGGAGTTTAGTCCATTCACATTCAATGTTATTATTGATAAGTAAGGACTTACTCCTGCCTTTGATTATTTGTTTTCTGGTTGTTTTTTGTACTTCTCTTTCTTTCTTTCTTTCTTTCTTTCTTTCTTTCTTTCTTTCTTTCTTTCTTTCTTTCTTTTCTGCCTTTTGTCCTTTCTTCCTTTTAGTGATGGTGATTTTTGTCTGGTGATGTGACTTAATTTCTTTCTTTTTATTTTTTGTGTATTCATTGTATATTTCTTTGTTTAAGGTTACCACAAGGCTTGCAAATACTATTTTTGTAACACATGATTTTAAACTGATAACAACTTAACCCTGTTGGTATAAGCAAACAAACAAGAAAAAGAAAACTACTAAAGGCTCTACTCTTTAAGTTTGTCCCCCAACTTTTTAACTATTGTTGTTTCTATTTATAGCTTACCATACTACCTGTGTCTTGAAAAGTTGTTGTAGTTATTATTTTTGATTTGTTCATTGTTTAGTCTTTCTACTTGAGATAAAAGTAGTTTTCAAACCACAGTTACAGTGTTATTATATTCTGTGTTTTACTGCGTGCTTTTGTATTACCAGTGAGTTTTCTACCTTCAGAGGATTTCTTAATGCTCATTAACATCCTTTTATTTGTCATTGAAGTACTCCCTTCAGCATTTCTTGTAGGACAGGTCTGGTGTTGATGAAATCCCTCAGCTTTTGTTTGTCTTGGAAAGTCTTTATTTCTCCTTCATGTTTGAAGGATATTTTTGCCAGATATACTATTCTGGGTTAAAATTTTTTTTCTTCCAGTACTTTAAATGTGTCATGCCACTCTCTCCTGGCCTATAAGGTTTCCAATGAAGAGTCTGCTGCCAGATATAGTGGAACTCCATTGTATATTATTTGTTTCTTTTCTCTTGCTGCTTTTAGGATTATTTCCTTATTCTTGACTTTTGGGAGTTTGATTATTAAATGCCTTGAGGTAGTATCCTCTGGGTTAAATCTGCCTGGTGTTTGATAACCTTCTTGTTCTTGGAAATTGATGTCTTTCTCTGGGTTTGGGAAGATCTCTGTTATTATGTCTTTGAATAAACTTTCAGCCCTTATCTCTTTTTCTACCCCTTTTTACAAGCAATTACTCTTAGATTTGCTCTTTTGAGTCTACTTTCCAGATTCTGAAGGCATACTTCATTCTTCCTATTGTTTTTTTCTTTTATCTCCTTTGACTGTGTATTTTAAAATATCCTGTCTTCGAGCTCATGGATTCTTTCTCCTGCTTGATCAATTCTGCTATTAAAAAGAATCTGATCCATTCTTCAATACGCCAATTACATTTTTATGCTCCAGAATTCTGCTTGATTCTTTTTAATTATTTCAATCTCTTTGTTAAATTTGTCTGATAAAATTCTGAATTCCTTCTCTGTGTTATCTTGAATTTCTTTGAGTTTCCTCAACACAGCTATTTTGAATTCTCTGCTGAAACATCGGATATCCTATTTCTCCAGAATTGGTCCCGGGTTCTAATAAAATTTATCTATCATATTTGTCTGATAAAATTTTTCTGGTAGAATTCTGAATCCCTTTTGTGTTATGTTTAATTTCTTTTAGTTTCCACAACACAGCTATTTTGAATTCTCTATCTGAAAGGTAAAATATCTCTGTTTCTCCAGAATTGGTCCCTGGTTCTTTATTTAGTTTATTTGGTGAGGTCATGTTTTCCTGGATGGTCTTAAAACTTGTAGATATTTGTCTGTGTCTGAGCATTAAAGTGTCAGGGATTTATTGTAGTCTTCTCATTCTGGGCTTGTTTATATTCATCCTTCTTGGGAAGTCTTTCCAGATGTTTGAAATGATGTGGGTATTGTGATCTAAGCTGAATCTGTGTTAAGGGGCACCACACGCCATTTAATATTGTGCTTCTTTGCAGACTCACAGAGGTACTGCCTTGATGGTCTTGGAAAGGTCCAGAAGATTTCCCTGGATTACCAGGCAGAGACTCTCATTCTCTTCCCTTACTTTCTCCCAAACAAACAGATTCTCTCTTTCTCTCTCTCTCTCTCTCTCTCTCCTCTGTTCTGAGCCAACTGGAGCTGGGGGTGGAGTGATACAAGCTCTCCTGTGGGCACTGATACCGGAACTGTGCTGGGTCGGATCTAAAGCCAGCACAGCACTGGGTCTCACCCAAGGCCTGCTGTAACCACTCCCTGGCTATCGCTTGCAACCTCTACAATCAGCAAGTGGCAAAGCCATCTAGGTCTGTGTCCATCCTTTCATGATGGCAATCTTTTTCAGGACCTGGGTGAGTCCAGAGCTGCCATCTTGGAGCCAGGAACTAGAGTCAAAAACCTTAGAAGTCTACCAGGTATTCTATTGTACTGAGGCTAAGCTGGCACTCAAATCACAAGATGCAGTCCTTCCCACTCTTCTCTCCCTTTCCAAAGTCAGAGGAGCCTCACACCATGGCCACTACCACCACAGGCCCACAAGAAGTACTACCAGACTACCACTGATGTTCCCTTAAGGCCCAAGGGCTCATAAGTCAGCTTATGGTGAATGCTGCCTGGCCTGGGACTCACCCTTCAAGACAGTGGGCTCCCTTCTGACCCAGGGCAGGTCCAGAAATGTCATCCAAGAGCCAAGTCTTGGAGTCATGGAACCCAAGAGCCCACCTGGTGCCCTAACCTTCTGTGGCCAAGCCAGTACATAAGGTGCAAGACAAAGTCTCCTTTACTTTTGCCTCCATTTTTCTCAAGCTGTAACCAGGGGAGGAATTTCATCATGTAACCACTACATCTGGGAATGTGCTGAGTCTCACCTGAGGCCAGCGAGTCTCAGAGTCTCACCCCCCTGACGTAGTACCTGGGTATTGCTGCTGGTTATTCAGGGCCCAACGGCTCTTCACTTAGCAGTTGATGAATCCTTTGAAGGACTAGATCTTTCCCTTCAAAGCAGCAGGTTCCCTTCTGGTGCAGCATGTATCTAGAAATGTCATCCAGAAGCTGGGGCCTGGAAAGGGGGGCCTCACGACTCTGGCTGGTGCCCTATCCTGCTGTAGCTGAGCTGGTATCCAACATGCAAGACATAGTCTTCCCCACTCTTCCCTCTCTTCTCCTTAAGGAGAGGGAAGGAGTCTTGAAGCCATGAGCTGTGCAGCCTGAGGTTAGGGGAGGGGTGATGCCAGCACTCTCTTGGTTGCCCCTGCCAGTGTCTCAGTAGGTCACATGTCCCCCCATTCCACTGGCTCTGGGCCCAGTTCCACATTAGGACTCAGCTAGGAGTTCAGGTGAGTCCTTTCAATCTTTTCAAATTGCCTTTCATGATTATTTAGGTCCCAAGAGCACTTTAGCTCACAGTGGCAAGGTTTGTGGGCACTCAAGTTCAGACCGCTGGTATCTGCCATTCCCCTCTGGCTAGGGCTGATTGGAATGCTCTCTCTGTGGGTGGGCATCAGCTGAATTTGGTCCAGTTTTGTTTTCTGCTATAATAGGGCAGCACTGAATCAATCCCTTTCTCAAGTGCACAGAAATGCTCTCCGCACCATGCCACCACTATCAGAGAATGGGGAAAGAGTGGTGTTGGTGATTGAAGACTGTTTTTCCTACCTCTTCAGTACCTCTTTCAGTTATGTGAAGTTAAAGCCAGATACTGTGAGTGCTCACCTGATTTTTTGTTCTTATGAAGGTGCTTTTTTTGTGTAGTTGTTAAATTGGTGTCCTTGTTGGGGGGAGACAATCGGTGGAGCTTCTATTCTGCCGTCTTGCTCCACTCCCCTCCCCTAACTCTTTATTTTTCAGTTTCTATGTCACAACCTTAAGAAAGTCCTTCCTTGAATTCCCTCTCTATAGTCACTTTCTACTTGCGTCAATCTGTTTGTTTATTCTGTAATACTTACCAGATTTTTTAAACTTACTTGTTTATTGTTTACCAGCTCCCTCCCACCATCTTCACTAGAAGGATCATTCTCTGTCTTGTTCATTTCTGTGTCTCCAACTCCTAGAGAAATATTTGACATACAGTGGGCACTCAATAAATATTTCTTAAATTAAATGAAATACAAAGCATAACTTTTTAAGTATCTGTTTCTTTATCTATATATTGGATACAACATCTGTATGAGAATCAAGAAAATAGTCATGAGAACCTTCTATTACAGCACCATTACAAATGTATAATTACAGTCATACATAAAATATTAGAAGTAGAGGATTGTTAAGTTCTTCAACAGTTACCTCCCGGGCTGTGAGTTCTTTGAGGTCAGGAACTATGTCTATTCCCCTTATCACTGTTTACTTCATGCTTAGCCTAGTGTCTGCCATGTAAGTAAATATTTGTAGAATGAACAAATGAGTCAATCAATGAGCATATCATCTCTCTGCCTCCAGAGAGACTTTCATCTACGTGGAATAAGTTTAGTTGTAGTCCTTCACAAAGAATTACATCAATAGAATTGTCTTCTATTCTTCATTTACTCAGTCATAAGAATTATTGAGTACCTACTATGTGCCAGGCACTGTGCCAGGTGCTGAGGATACAATGATAAAAACCCACAAACCAACAATGTCCCTGCTCTCATGGGACCTCATAGTGTTTTTGCTATACTCCTTAATCATTTCTACTTGTATAAAATTGTGATTGAAAGATGCTTCCACTCTTTCAATGTTATGGGATTTAATTTTTTATGTTTGTAAATATATGGCCAGTTTCCATAGACTGCTACATTGGCAATGAAAACAAGTTTTATTCTGTATTCTCCATGCATATAGCTCATTTTATATATATAAAATATCTACCTTATGAATTAACATAATTCTTTCATATCTAAACATATTTTTTCCCACTTACCCTGTCATGGATGGAGGGAAGTGAAGAGTCCTAAAAGTAGTATATTTCTATCTTTCCTTCTATTTATATAATACCTGCTTTTGGACTGATGAAACGCCTTTTATTCAATGCATAACTATTCCAGCTTATTTTAATTTTGTAATCTGGAAGTTTTAGCACTATAAAGCATCCTTCTTTGTCTTATTTAATGATTTTGACTTGAATTCATTCTAAACTGATATTAACATTATGACCTTTGCTTTCTGTTCATATTTGCCTTTGTTCACGACTTTATATATGAGCACTTTGAATCTATTTGTTTTAGGTGAGCCTGTATCATACAGGATAGAGTGAGATTTGCTTTCTGCTATGATATGACATATATATGGCCTCATTTTCCTCACAGTTTTATTTTAAATTGATAGTTTGTGTCAGAAGCCAAGATGGAATTAGACATGCAAAAGGTTTTGGGGATTAATGACTGACAGATAATGAAGAGAAGGAGCAAGAGTAGGCAGGAAAAGCCTTCAGACCATGGTATGGGTCTGAAACTTGAGAAGAGGGAGGGGAAGGAAAGGATAGTTGGGTTGGGTAGGAAGATCCTCTGACTGCAGTGCAGCTCTGAAAAAGTCATGGCCAACCTTACAGGGAGCTCCAGAACAAAGACTGTGCATTAGAGAAGCCTCACATTGGGCACAGATGTGGCCTTAATATCCCTGCCCTGCTAAGCACTGGTGGAGTTGCAGGAGAGAACATGTCCTTGTCGTCAACGCTGCAGCACATCCTGAAAGTATGTAGGTAACTAAACGCAGGCCTGTAGCTAACTGCATGCTGCCTGCCAATCTCACTCTTGGAGGAGTATTTGAGTGAAAAATTGCCATGGCTACCACACACATTTTATAATATTTTTATTCAAGTATAATTTACATGCAGAAATGCACAGATCTTAACTGTGTACAGCGTAACAAGTTTTGACAAATTAATAAATCCATTTATCCCATCTCAAGGTACCAAACATTTCTTTCACACGAAAAATTCCCTGTGGCCCTTGGATCAAATCAAACCTCCTTCCCTCTGCACACTGGCTTCTTCTCCCCCCTACAAACTGAGGCAACCATTGATCTGATTTTTATTACCATAGTTTATTTTGCCTGCTTTGAACTTCATATAAATGGAATCATAGTACATGTTCTGTTTTGCTTCTGGCTTCTCTTATGTAACATAATGTTTTTAATATGCATGCATGCAGCGTGATCAGTAGCTTAAAATTGTTTTTTATTCCATTATGTAACTATACCATCACCTGTTTATCCATGTTCCTTTTGTGGACATTTGGGTTGCTTCCAGTTGTTGACTATTATAAAGTTACCATGAACATTTATTTATTTATTATTTATTTATTTATTTATTTTTTGAGATGGAGTCTCGCTCTGTCACCAGGCTGGAGTGCAGTGGCACGATCTCAGCTCACTGCAACCTCCATCTCCCAGGTTCAAGCGATTTTCCTGCCTCAGCCTCCTGAGTAGCTGGGACTACAGGCGCGCGCCACCACACCCAGCTAATTTTTTGTATTTTTAGTAGAGACAGGGTTTCACCATGTTGGCCAGGATGGTCTCAATCTCTTGACCTCATGATCCGCCCGCCTCGGCCTCCCAAAGTGCTGGGATTACAGGTGTGAGCCACCTCGGCACAGCCCAGTTACCATGAACATTTTTTATCCTTCTTTTGTGTAGACATGTATTTTCATTAATCTTTGGTAAATACCTAGTTTGGAATTACTGAATCATATTGTAAGTGTATGTGAAATTTATGAGAAAATGACAAACAATTTTCCAAATCATTGTTCCAGGGGTTCCCAGCTCCCGGGCCACAGACTGGTACCCACTGGTACTGGCACTGGACTGTTAGGAACCCAGCCACATAGCCGGAGGTGAGTGGCAGGCAAGCCACCATTACCGCCTGAGCTCTTCCTCCTGTCAGATCAGCGGCAGCATTAGATTCTCATAGGGATGCAAATCCTATTGTGAACTGTGCATGCGAGGGATCTAGGTCTTGGGCTCCTAATGCCTGATGATCTGAGGTGGAACAGTTTCATCCCAAAACCATCTCCCCACATTCCCCTGCCCCGTCCATGGAAAAATTGTCATCCACGAAACCAGTTCCTGGTGCCAAAAAGGTTGGAGACGGCTGATTTGTACCATTTTCACACAAACAACAGGCTGTCAAACAGAGGTTGTGTTTTGGTTGGCATTTAATCTAATCTGTATACCAATTTGGGGTAAACCATTTTAACAACATTGAGTCTTACTGTCATGAACATCATACATCTGTCCACTTATTTAGGTCTTTTTAATTTTTCTCTCAGAAATGTTTTGTTAACAGTGTAGAGAACATGTAACCACTTGTTAAATACACTCCTATTTGTTTTATACTTTTATGCTATTGTAAATATTATTGTTTTTAAATTTTCATTGTTCAATTATTCGTTGCTATTACATAGAAATAGAGTTAACTTTTGCACATTGACCTTTTAGTCTGTGAACTTCCTAAAAGCAACGATTAGTTCTGGCTGTTTGTAGATTCCTTTGCATTTTGTATGTCCACCAACATGTTGTCTTCCAAAGATAAAAATTTATTCCTTTCCAAACTTTATGTATTTACATGTTATTTCTTTTCCTTACTTTATCTCCCTGGCTAGGACCTCTACTATCACGGAAGTGGTGACAGCAGACATTTTTGCCTTCTTTCTGATCTTTTAGGAGAAGCTCTTCAATATTTTAACGTTAAGTGTTTTCTTCATTATGGATCACATTTTCTTGCTTCATTAAATGCCTTATTTTAAGAATTCAATTCCCAACATTGAGTATAAGATATCAGTGGTGTTTTGTTTTATTTATTTCCCAAACAGTACAAGCTCTTTCCTTTTTTGGCTGTTGGAAGAAAGGCTGTTTATTCTGACTCTTTCTAGAGTTTGAGTTGAGCTTAGGCTGGTACACAGATTATGTTAGGTTGAGTTTACCTACCCTCAGAGTGGGAGCTAATATGGCTCTCTGCTTAGCCATAAAGAATTCATGTCAGCCTGGGGCAGTGCCATGTGCCTGTAGTCCCAGCTACTTGGAGACTGTGGCAGGGGGATTGCTTGAGCCCAGTAGTTTGAGGCTGCAGTGCCTTATGATAATCACACCTGTGAATAGGCAGTGCACTCCAGCCTGAACAACATAGCAAGACCATGTTGCTTAAAAAAGAAAAAAAAAATTATATCACCCTTATAGTCAGTCCATCAAGCTTTCCTTAAATTCATTACCCTCTGTTAATTCCATGGGAAAGTATAATTTTTGTTTTGTCTCAGAGATTCTTGTTAACACAAACATAAAGGTCTTTTGTAGTCTTTTATATCCTAACCCATTAACATTTCATTTTATTGTTTTTCTTGCATTTGTGGGTACCTGTTGTGTGTTTAAATCTTCATACTTGGGAGAGCTCAACTTGGTTCTAGTGGTAGTCTTTGTTTTCTCTTAATTTGTTTTCCTCATTGTCTATTGTTACCTGTGCTTCTTTCAATTTATTTCCATTTTTCTGATGATTTTGCTTTTGTCTTTTGCATCTTTCCTAAGATCCACTATCTCAGGTTTCACCTCCTCCTCCTTTCGTCTTGTTATATCTTTCCTGTGTTTTTATACTTGATCCATTTCTTTTTTATAGCCATCCTTTATAGAAATTATTACTTTACAAAAAAATTATGTTTATCACATTTTTTATCTTCTTTATGGCCACCTGTGTGTAGTCTGTTGGTAAATTTTGCTGCTCTCTTCCACATGTTTATCTTACAGTATCTATGTATTGAGGCCATGCCAGTATCTTTTATTACTAGTAATTCAATGAGTTAAATTTCCCAGAGCAGCTATTTGCAGGAAGATCTTGATTAGGAGGGAGAGGCCAAGAAAATCTTCCAAGCTTTATAACTCAAAGATTCCCTCTTCTACTTCTACAACTATAGCACACCATTGTTTGTGATGCTTTGTTTAGCCCCAAGTCAGGTTCAGCAGGGTTTCTGCTGCCAGTTTTGCTTACTTAATTTTGTACACCCTTGACAATAAGCAAATTAACTTTTTCTTTAGAAAAAGCAGTTTTGCTGCTTTTGAGATCCGCTATTATTGAACAGTCTTGCCACTTTTTTCATTCTCTATTATGCAAATTTTCAGGTCTCATCTGCTCTTGGTAGCTCATAGATGTCGTTAAATTTGCTTATTATATTGTTTGTAGGGGTTTTTTTAACGTCATTTTTCTCATTACTTTTGTATGACTTCCAGAAGGGGGAAAAAATCCCCACTTACACAGCTATGTTCATATCAAAAGTCACCTAAAGGTGTTTTGGCAGAAATCTAAATTCTAACTCATGTCTCATAAGACAGTGTTTTATCTAGTCTCTTGGATAACATGAAATACAATTGTAAATGCAGTAGTCAAGGATTGAAAATGCTAAGTTTGCTAATTTTTCTTATCAAAGAACATATACAGAATATTTCCCAGTAGCTCCTACTAAAAGAAATTCTATTCAACTGCAATTGTTAGAGCTATTCAGCTGATTATCAAAATACTTTAATTCATCATCTAAAAACTGATTGCATAATAAAAATAAACATCCTAAAACTCCAGAAATAGCCAGAGTGAACTGTAGAGTAGCCCCCAGCTTTTCTTAGTGCACTAAGCCATGCAAGTATACCCAGTAGAGTTACATAAGCTATGAGGGGGTTATAAGTGCAAGGATATATTTCACTGTGAAATTAGAGCAGGCATTGAAGTTGAAGGATGGCTCCTAGTGAGTTTTCTTTTGGGAACACTAAGTAATCATCAGTACAAAGGTCACAGAAGTATCTTATGAAGCCAACCAACCACCTATGGCTTTCTGTGGCTGTGGAACTGATCAAGTCCAGTGAAGACTGAGAGCATGGGGGCATGGACCAAAAAGAGAGAGAAAAACAAAGAAGAAACACACAGGGCAATAAATGTCATTTTTATATGGACATCATATTTTATAACATTATTTATTTTTAATATACCTTGAAAATGCAGAATGGTTAAGAATAATGAGGAATTTTGCCTTCAGCTTCTTCCTCTATTTTATCTGACTCCATATAGTGTATTGCTCCCCAACTTTTTCCCCTCACATGAAGAAAATGATAATTGTGTCTCTCTAAAGTAGACTGGAGAGGATTAGGGGTATCAGTGGGGGAAAAAAATGATTACCTTTCTTTAAATAATTATAAGAAAAACAAAATACAACTACTAGGGAAGATATTAAGTATAGAATTTGTATAAAATTTCAACATAAAATATTTTTGCAATTTTAATGAGACATTCGCGCTTGCTTTTCTGACCATAATATTTTAATAGTGGGTTTTGTGTGTGCAATGGGTATATACACTTCTTGGCTAAACTTAGGATTAAAAGAATAACAGGCAAAGTGTTTGTGACAGTGCCTACCAAATAGTAAATGCTGTTTAACTGCATATAAAATTTTTTGGAAAATTTTAGTCTTCTTTTAGAGTCATCCAAAGTTTACAGCTATTGAAAAGTCCTCCAGGTTCATCCATGTTATAGCAAATGACCGAATTTCCTTCTTTTTAAAGGCTTAATAGTATTCCATTGTGTATATGCACCACATTTTCTGTATCTATTCATCTGCTGAATGGTTGGTTTGTATTGTGGCTACTGTGAATGCTGCTGCAATAAACGTGGGAGTGCAAAGATCTCTTCAACATACTTACTTCATTTCCTTCGAATATATGCCCAGTAGTAAGATTGTTGAATCATATGGTAGTTCTATTTTTAATTTTTTGAGTAGTTTCTATACTATTTTCTATAATGTCTGTACTAATTTACATTCCCACCAACAATGTACAAGGATTTCCTTTTCTCCACATCCTTGGCAAGATTTGTTCTTTCATCTTTTTTAATAATAGCCATTCTAAGAGATGTGAGGTGATAGTCACTGTGGTTTTGATTTGCATTTCCCTAATGATTAGTGATGCTGAGCATTTTTTCATACACCTATTGGTTATTTATATGTCTTTCTTTGAGAAATGTCTATTCAGGTCCTTTGTCCATATTTTAATCAAGTTTTTTTCTTGCTATTAATTACTTTTGGATATTAACCCCTTATGATATGTATGGTTTGCAAATGTTTTCTCCCATTCCGTAGGTTGTGTCTTCATTCTATAGATGGTTTCCTTTGTTGTCATGGTAATCACCATGGGTTTTCTCATAGACTACTCCGCTATTACGTTTAAAATGCAAGTTCACCAGCCGGGCACGGTAGCTCACCCCTGTAATCCCAGCACTTTGGGAGGCTGAGGGTAGACTACTTCCCTATTACATTTAAAATGCAAGTTCACCAGCTGGGCACAGTAGCTCACACCTGCAATCCCAGCACTTTGGGAGGCTGAGGGGGGCGGATCAAGAAGTCAAGAGATCAAGACCATCCTGGCCAACATGGTAAAACCTCGTCTCTACTAAAGATACAAAAATTAGCTGGGCATGGTGGCACACACCTGTAGTCCCAGCTACTCGGGAGGCTGAGGCAGGAGAATTGCTTGAACCCGGGAGGCGGAGGTTGCAGTGAGCCGAGATTGTGCCACTGCACTCCAGCCTGGCAACAGAGTGAGACTCTGTCTCAAGAAAAAAAAAAAAAAAAAAAAAAAAAAAAAAAATATATATATATATATATATATATATATATATGCAAGTTCAATATATGTGTTCGTTTGTGTGCATCTGCGTGTGTGTGTGTTCCCCAAACCCCAAAGCAAAAACAGGGCAGCTTTTAAAAACGAATCTGTTTCAATAGAGCTGAAAGGATTATTAACAGATTTAGTAGTTTCCTCAAACCAAAGGATGTTTTATAATATTTATTCTTGCATTCTAAAAAATTTGATACATAACAATATAAAAGTCCTTAAAATTTATTGAAAGTGTAAGTAATATTTTTAGAACATATACTCATGTAACCAAATTCAGGCCAAAAGATAGTCTGAGAATGGAAATTTACATTCCAAACACACACTGAAATAGAGATGCAAAAATCCTAAACAAAATATTAACAAATAATGTGATTGATCTCAGAAACAGTATTGAGTAAAACAAGGAAGACACAAACACAGATATGTACAATTCCATTCACATAAAATTCAAAATCAGACAAAACTGTGTATTTTTTAGGAATGAATACATGGGTGGTAAAGCTATCAAGAAAAGTAAGAAAAGTATTATAAAAGTTGAAATAAAGCTAACCTTGGAGTTGAGGACTTGTGATTAAAGAGGTGTTCATGAAGGATTTCTTGGTTGCAAAGCAGTCTTCTATCTTTTAGGTGTGGTCTCATAAAGTAAGAAACAGGTGGGGGGACTCTTCTTTATTTTTTCTAATCTCAGGAAAGTTTGTGTAGACTTGAATTATTATTTTTTTGAATGTCTAGTAGAACCAACCATTGAACACATCTGGCCCTGACCTTCCCTATATGGAAAAATTTTAAACTACTGGTTCATTTAATGATTACAGGATTATCATTATAGTATTCACATAACATAATACTGTCAAATTATATTTTTAAATGAATTTTCCATTTTATCTAAACTTTCAATAATATTGGCAGAAAATTGTTCATAATATTCTATTATCTTTTTAATTTTTACAGCACCTATAGTGATTTCCTTTCCAATTATGATATTGGTTAGTTGTAACTGCATTATTTCCATCAGTCTCACCACAAGTATGTCAGCTCTACTAGTATTTTCAACAAACCAACTTTTGGATTTGTAGATCGTCTCTTCTATTCTGGTTTTATTTCATTCATTTCTGTTTTAAGTTATCCTTTCCTTCTTTCTTTTGATGTTCTACTTGATGTCATTTTCCTAACTTCTTTAGATGGGTGCATAGCTACATAATGTACAGACTTCCTTCTTTTCTACCATAAGCATTTATGAATATAATCTCCCTCTACATGCTGCTTTAAGTGCATCCCACAAGTTTTGATGTGTAGTATGGTTTAATATCATTGACTTAAAAATATTTTCTAATTTCATTTTGTCTTACTTGACATATAGATTACTTAGAAGTGTATCTCTTCATCTGTAATCCCAGCATTTTGGGAGGCTGAGGCTGGCAGATCATTTGAGGTCAGGAGTTTGAGACCAGCATGGCCAACATGGTGAAATCCCATCTCTAATAAAAATACAAAAATTAGCTGGGTATGGTGGCACACGCCTGTAATCCTAGCTCCTTGGGAGGCTGATACAGGAGAATCACTTGAACCCAAGAGGCAGAGGTTGCAGTGAGCCAAGATCGTGCCACTGCACGGGTGATAGAGTGAGACTCCATCACAAAAAACAAAAAATAAATAAGTGCATCTCTTAATTTCTGATATATAGAGATTTTCCTGTTATCTTTTTGTTGTTCATTTCTAGCCTAATTGTGTTGTGGCAAAAGAATATACTCATATGGTTTCAGTCATTTGAAATTTTATTGCATATGCTTATAGTCCAGTGCATAGTCAATTTCTATAAATGTCCCATGGATGCTTTAAAAGAATAGAGGTTCTGTGGCTGCTGAGTATATTGGTCATTCAGTATACTGTTAAAGCTGCCTTTAAGGTTTTTCTTTTTATTATTGATGTTTTGCATATTCACTATGATGTATCTCAATGTAGTTTTTTAATTTACACTGCTTGGGATTCACTGAACTTCTTAAATCTGTACTTTACTGTCTTATTAGTTCCAGATAATTCTCCATGTTTTCTCTTTCTCTAGTTTCCTAACTGCATTCTATATGTGTCCTCATCTATAAAATGAAAATAATAACAGTACTTATCCCACATGTAAGTACTTGTTGATAAAATATAAAATGCTTAGTACACAGTACTCAATGATTGATAGCTATTGTCATTACAACACTTAAAGTGAATTTTCCCCAACTTTCCTTAATGTCATAAAGTTTTAGAAATATGCAGATAAATTCAGAGATAAGCAGATATTAAATAATCACTAGCTAGGCAAAGTGGAAAACTGAAGCACTTTCCATTAGAAATCAGTAGAGCAAGTGGTTATCATCATGCCCTTAAAACCAAAAAGGGCCAGGTTAGACTCTCTTTACAATCTAGAGGAAGCTACTTAACTTCTTCAAGCCCTGGAATCCTCATTTGTTAAATGAGACTAGTTATCATACCTGACAGCTTGTTCTAAATTTTAAATCAAATTCTACAATGCATTTAATATTTCAATAAAAGGCAAAGATGAAAGTATTACAAAAGAAAAAGCATTATAAAGATACCCAATTTTAATACTCTAAACTTTCTATGAGGGGAAATAACTATTTCAGAACTTTCTTGAGATGTGTATTCAGCAAATAAATTTGCTAAGGTATATTTGCAGTATTCACTCAGCATTTTTAACCCTGTTATATGTCAGGCACTGATAGGTGCCAGAGGTATAAAGATCAATGCTCTTGAATAATTCACAGTAGATGATCCAGATATTTAATCAAATAAGTACAATACAATGTGAGCCATGAGATGGTAGAGAACTATACAAAAGGCTATGAGAACACAGATTTCACATAAAAGACATTTAATATAAGCAGAGATGTTCCAGCCAATGGGAATGGGAGGTTGAGGTGTATAACATGGGAACATTTGCTATTAGGCTGAGCATCTCTAATCTGAAAATTCAAAATCCAAAATCCAAAACTTTTTGAGTACTGACATGATGCCACAAATGGAAAATTCCACACCTGACTTCATGTGATAGGTCACAGTCAAAATGTAGGTGCACAACATATAGTCTATTCAGTGTTCCCAAGGGAAAAATAAATTACCTTCAGGTTATGTGTATAAGGTATATATGAAACATAAATGAATTTTGTTTAGACTTGGGTCCCAACTCTAAGAGTATCTCATTATACATGTACAAATATTCCAAAATCCAAACATATCTGAAATCTGAAACTTTTAGTCCCAAACATTTTAGATAAGGGATATTCAACCTGTATTTGTGAAACAGCTGTAACAAAGGGTATGTACTATGGAGTAGTGACAGAAGCCACTTGAAGATTTGGGGCCATACTTGCAGGTGTAAATGTGTTATGTTGAGGGGTTTGGACTGTTACTGCATAGATACTGGAAAGCTTCTGAAATGTTCTATGGCCCCAAAACAATGACATTTCTACTTTTTGGAGAACAATTGACATAGTAAACAAGATGGACTGACTAGAGTGAAAAACGAAGGCCACCCAGTTAGAACATTATTATAATCATCAAAATAAAGAAGACATAAAAAATAGTCATCAAATGTTTTCAATGCATTGGGATAATGCTCTTCCAACTTAGAATAACTGCTTCCCAGATTTGCTATTGCCTCCTAAATGTGAAAATTATATTATTATTTACATAGAATAAAAATGTATTCGATTCCTTTGCGATATTTTATAGAAAAATAAATTAGTTTCCTTTTGAAAATCATATGCAAAAAATTCATTTTATTATAACCTATCATTCATTTTATTATAATGGAATTATAAAGGTTATAGAAAAAATATCCATCTTCCCTTTTTAGAAAAGAACACTAGTCCTTTATGTTCCCCTGCCACAGGGGAGGCATTGGAAACAATGATCAGCTCAGATTAAAACCCTATTGTACTGAAAAACTCAGAATCCTGACTTAACTAGTCTAAGGAAATGCCAGTAAGGCTTATTAGAAAAGGGAGGCTTGGTATAAAAGCATAAAGAATTGAGTTCAACCCCCTCCACTCTTCACCCTATCCTGCTGCCCAAACACCCTTAGTTAAGGAGTGACCAGCTCTTTGATCTCTTCTCTTTTAAAATAACCAAATAGCTCTTGTTTTGACTCCATGGCTAAACTCCATCCTTGCAACAGGAGTTTTATTTCTACATTGGTAGTTGAGTTTCTAACAAAAAAGACAATTTAATATATCTTATATTTTGTAATATGTTCTAAAGACTAAATTTAAATAATTTCATGGCTATTCTGACTTCTTTCCATAGTAAAATTTTTCTTTTGTAAGAGATGGCCTATGTACACAGGCAGAGTAAATTAACTCCTGCCTCAAAGTTGCTGAGAAAATGAATTGCTTAAGAAGATTAGAGTCATTTTCTTTACTTAGAGGTATTCTTGACAACCCACACTGAAATTACACAAGATTAACTCCATTAACACCATTTCCCATTCTTTAAACTAGTAGCTTTTTAGAAAGCAGCATTTAGACTGAATAGTTCAAAGCATATTTTAAGAGGAGATCTCAAGATGCTTAGAAATGCTAAATAAGTATCATTTAAGGATTTAGAATGGAGTGCTGAGAGGTCAAGTAACATATTATTGGTCATACAGTGAGCTGTAAGTGAAATGAAAAGATGCTGCTTGTTTTTCTCTTTACCATTTAGTCTGCATATTCCACTTGCAAGTGGCATTTCAAATCAAATGAAAACAAGGGATATTAACACTGTTAATCCCTCAAAGAAAGGGATATTATTTATTTTTGTCTTTCCCATAGCATTTTGTAGAGTACCTTTCACTTATTCAAATATTTGTTGGTTATTATGCCATATATTTGACATTATTTTGTGGCCTATTAAATATACATAAATCAGAGGGCTTAGAAAAACAGATTAAAACAGTACTATAAGAGAATCTTTCTGAAACTAGAAAGCAAAATCTATTAACACAGGCCCTAAACTTTAAACTAGTTATCCTAGCTGCCATTGGTGCCATTAAAATCTCTCTCTCTCAAAATGTTGTCATGAGCCACCAAAACCATTCTGAACAAATGCAATCATAACCCATTAATTCCCTTAAATTTCCCTCTTTGATCTTTATGCAATCTTCAGTGTTTTTAACCGCAAAATAATACACAAATATACTCATGTTTGAAATTCAAACATCAAAAGTAAATGGAGGAAAAAAGTCCCATTTTCCTACCTCCCCATATCTTCCTCCAACCTCTTTTCCTACCCTTACATTAATGTAAAAGACTTTGCATTAAATTATATAGAGTTTCATTTTCTTTTTGTTCTCTTAAAGATTACTCCCAGGTAGAAAACGTTAAGGAACATTGACCTAGACAGCTCTTAAAGATCCTAATTTGAATGAACTACTGAATCCCCAGATTTAGAAATAGTTGTTTCTACTACTACAAAAAAAAAAACCTCTAAAAATATGAATTGTAATTACTTTATGCTAAAACTAAGTCAGATCAGACCTCAATGGAAAGTCATTAACCATTTTATTATAAAAATTTTATCAGGGAGCATAGTAAAGTAATACTAACTGTAATAATACTAGCTGAAATTTACTGAGAATTTGCTAGGCACCAGACATTGTTCTTAGTGTTTCATAAGACTTGCTAAAATCAACTATCAGTAAAATTTTAAGATATAGCATGTGGTCATCAATGCCTCTGCTCATAATGTCTCAAATTTGTATATATTTCATAATTTTGTTTGATGCAATACTATCCTGGACTGAAAAATGATAACTAACAGTACTTCAAGTCCAAGAATTCTACAACAGAATCAGTGGGTTACTAAAGTCGCATATTAAAGCAGTGGTAGAGCCCATCTCTGATTTCAGGGATTCTCAACTGTACCAGTATATTTCCCATACTCTAATCCTTCATGTATTGGTATCATAATTACTGCTATGTCTATACTATTATTTATTTAATACCTTTAAATTGATTCTACCTCTTTAAAATTAAATTTAGTTTTAAAGGAAACATAATACCATCACATAAACAGGAAGCCAGAATTGATTACCATAAATAAAAGGGAAGATAAATTCAATAAAACAATGCAATCCTATTACATTCTAGCTACATATTATATTGTTGACTGCTGATGTTTCTGAGCCTGAGGCCTGCATAGTTGGCTAAAAAGGTAAATCAGCCAATGTTGATATATGTAAATAGTATCAATCAGCTTTCTCCTTCCTTAAACAGAATGATTGATGTGAGGACTGAAAGTATATTGAAAAAGAACAAGTTTCTCACTATGCTTTTTCAATGATATTTGTGCCAGGTACCATCTAAAACACCTCCTATGATCTATAATGATTTTACATATTATTATGATACAAATCCCAAAATACTTTGGGAAAACTCCAAAATGATTTGGGGATTTCCTGAAGGGATCCCCTTTACTTTATATTTTGGTCTCAGAATCAAAAGGTATCTTGTCTCTCCCAAGACATGCCCCAATATGCCTATTAAATCAATGGCAAGTTATATCAAGTTGGTAGAAATGGAAGTTATATTTTAATTTTTAGTTTAGTTTTTTTTTTTTTTTGAGGTGGAGCCTCGCTCTGTCACCTAGGCTGGGCAATCTCGGCTCACTGCAACCTCCACCTCCCGGGTTCAAGCGATTCTCCAGCCTCAGCCTCCCAAGTAGCCCAGCTAATTTTTTTATTTTTAGTAGAGACAGGGTTTCAGCATCTTGGCCAGGCTGGTCTTGAACTCCTGACCTCGTGATCCACTCGTCTTGGCCTCCCCAAAGTGTTGGGATTACAGGCGTGAGCCACCGTGCCTGGCCTAAATGGAAGTTAATATCCAAAAACTTGTTCTCAGAAGGCAAATGTTAGGTAGATGAAAACAGTACTGATTTAAGAAGCATAATCAAGCTCAACCACACGCTATTTTGTTTGACCTTGATTAGGTTAGTAAACTACTCAGGTATGTTTCCAATCTGCAAATAAGGGAAGATAATACCTCCACACAGGGTGGGAATATGGATTAAAGTGTGAGATACTGACATAATAGATACTCAGAAAATGTTAGTTAAATCAAAAGTTACATGACTTTCAGTTTTTTACAGCTCACAAAAAAAAAATCAAGGTGTTTTAATTTTAATATTAGTAAAAGACCTCAATTTGTTTCACCTAACCGACTCCCAGGCACTACTGCTAGCTCAGCGTCAAACAACCTTGGCAATTAAAACTAATTCAAATATAGCAATGAGGGAGGCATCACACAACCTGACATCAAACTAAACTACAAGGCTATAGTAACCAAAACAGCATGGTACTGGTACAAAAACAGACACATAGACCAATGGAACAGGTTAGAGAACCCAGAAATAAAGGCCACACACCTACAGCTACTTGATTTTTGTTAAAGTCAACAATAACAAGCAACAGGGAAAGGACTCCCTATTTAATAAATGGTGCTGGGATAACTGGTTAGCCACATCCTGAGGATTGAAACTGGACCCCTTCTTTTTACCATATACAAAAATCAACTCAAGATGGGTTAACAATGTAAATGTAAAACCTAAAACTATAAAAACCCTAGAAGAAAACCTAGGAAATATCATTCTGGACAAAAGACCTAACAAAGATATCATGACAGACTCCAAAAGCAACTGGAACAAAGCCAATAATTGACAAGTGAAGGCTGGGCATGGTGGCTCATGCCTGTAATCCTAGCACTTTCTGAGGCCGAGGTGGGTAGATCACTTGAGGTCAAGAGTTTGAGACCAGCCTGGCCAACATGGTGAAACCCCGTCTCTAATAAAAATACAAAAATTAGCCAGGTGTGGTGGTGGCCACTTGTAATCCCAGCTACTTGAGAGGCTGGGGCAGGAGAATGGCTTGAACCCAGGAGGAGGAGGTTGCAGTGAGCCGAGATTGCACCACTGCACTCCAGCCTGGGTGACAGAAGGAAACTCCATCTAAAAAAAAAAAAAAATTGACAAGTGGGACCTAATTAAACTAAATAGCTTCTGCACAGCCAAAGAAACTATCAACAGAGTAAACTGACAATCTACAGAATGGGAGAGAATATTTTCAAAGTATGCATGAACAAAGGTCTGATATCCAGAATCTATGAAGAACTTAACAAGCAAAAAATTATCCCATTAAAAACGGAAGAAAGGACATGAACAGACACTTCTCAAAAGAAGACATCCATGGGCCAAAAGCATATGAAAAAATGCTGAACATCACTAATCATTAGGGAAATGCAAATCAAAACCACAACGAGATACCATCTCACACCAGTCAGAATGGCTGTTATTAAAAAGTCAAAAAATAACAGATGTTGGGGAGGCTGCAGAGAAAAGGGAATGCTATACACTGCTGATGGGAATATAAATTAGTTCAGCCTCTGTGGAAAGCAGTTTGAAGATTTCTCAAAGAACTTAAAGCAGACATACCATTTGACCCAGCAATCCCATTATTGGTTATATACCCAAAGGAATATAAATTGTTCTACCATAAAGACCATGCACGCCTATGTTCATTACAGCACTATTGACAATAGCAAAGACATGGAACCAACCTAGATGCCCATTACAGTGGACTGGATAAAGAAAATGTAGTACATGTATACCAGATAATACTACACAGTCATAAAAAAGAACAAAATAATGTCTTTCCAGCAACATGGATGTAGCTGGAGGCCATTATTGTAAGCAAATTAATGCAGGAACAGAAAACCAAATACCAAATGTTCTTACTCATAAGTGGGAGCTGAACTTTGAGTACACTTGGACTCTAAGAAGGGAACAATAGGCACCATGGCCTACTTGAGGGTGGAGGGTGGGAGAAAGATGAGGATAGAAAAACAACCTATCAGGTACTATGCTCATTATCTGGGTGATTAAATAATTTGTATGCAGAACTCCCACAAAATGCAATTTACCCATGTAACAAACCTGCACATGTACCCCTAAACCTAAAATAAAAGTTGGAAGAAAAAATAAAAATAAAGCAAAACTTTGGAAATGGGGCTATAGAAGGTCAGCAAAGGGTAGGTTTGAGATGTTTGGGTAGGTTAAGTGGGCATTTTGATGACACAGCTTCTCCTTCGGCATGTTTAATTGGCATGTGATGTTTAAAGGACATCCTTGCAGTTTAAGATGACACTTTAAAAATAAATTAACTCCTAATAATGAGGTGAAGAAAAAAAAAAAACTAATCCAAAGATCATGCTTATGAAGGTCTGAAATGCCCCAGCAAAACTGCAAAAACCTAAGTGACTAGTCATCAGTTGGTCCAAAGCATACTATTAATAATAAAAGTCCTTAAACAAAAAAAGTTTAACATGGCATCTTATTGGCATATAAAATAATATTCCACATGAATGATATCTCAATACATTTTATGGTGATGAAATAAACTTAGTGTTCCTTTATACACTGCTGAAGTATTTACTAAATAAATCAATAAATGTCTAAAATTATAGTGCCATCTGCAGGCAAAAAAAGTAAAATCAATGATATATTTTCATGCTTTCGTATTTTCTGATTGCTATTCAAAACTTTTAAAAACTAGGATTTAATAATGTATATAACTCATTTTATGATTACATTTATAGGATACGATTTATCATATAAAATAAAACATTTTTTCTAAATTTTTTTTACTACCTAATAGAGGATCACTTCATTCTCAATATAACATTAAAATGATGGCAGTAATCCAAAGAAAATCAATGGTACTACAATATCCAATTTTGTGTATTGAGAATTATTTATTGCCAAAACATATAACAAAAAAAACTTTTTAGTATTAAAAAAAATCCAAATACCCCATCATCTTAACAGGAAGGGATTTTCATTTATTTGCTTTTCTCTTCCAAACTTGCATCTGCAGACACTTACTTAACAATAACTAAGTGCCAGGCACTTTTTAAAGTTGCTTTACATATATTAACTTAGAAAATTCTCACAGTAATCCTATGAGGTAGGCAATGTTAACATGCCCATTTTACAGATGTTGAAACTGAAGCCCATGAGTTTAAATAACTTTCCCAAGGCTGCAGTGCTATACGTGGCAGTGCCAGGGTTCAAACTGGGTTAGTTTGTCTCCAATATCTGTGCTTTTAATCACTATGCTAACATGTCTCTTATTTGTGAAAGATGAATTCAGAGTATTATTGCAGTTGTAACATATGTGTTCTACTTTTAGGGGGCAACATTTTCTCATGAAACTAAATTGTTCATTGCTTTTTTAAATAACTACATATTTTACCATCAAGTTGATACACATCATTTTACTTACTTTAGTTACGTAATGCTGGACTTTGAAAACTGTTTTTAGTGTCTGTATATGAAAATATTGCAATAAGCAAATTTTGCATTGCATATAGCTTCTCTTCCTTCTTTTGGATTTTATTTCCTAATGCTAACATTTCCCAAAATGGTTAAACTGGCTTAAGTATATATATCACATTACTGATATATAATGCTCCATACTGCTTTTTAAATTTCATCATTATATCTTACCAACAATGAAAGAAATGCTCAGATCTTCCTAAATCAATACATGTCTACATGCCAGTCATTCCTCCCCAACACACCCATATTTAACTGATATAAAATGGTGAAGGATGATTTATAATGTGGGATAGTTAAACCAACAAAAATTAAAATTTTCAAATGGGCACAATGTTTTGTTCCTCCAGCAACAGAAAATGTGGAGATAATCCTATTATTTGTCATTTATGAAGTTGTAATTGTCTTGATTCTATCAGTAACCACACACAAAAAAATCAACAACATACTCAAAATCACTAGTAAGTGTCAGAGCTAGAATCTAAGAATGAATCTGTCTGACTCTAACACCTGTTTTAGATAATATGAAAAAATTACAAATGGTCAAGAGGGTCAGCGTATGCCAAGATATAAAAATTGGATGAGAAATTGTATTTCAATCTTCATCAAAGATTACTTATCTCACAAAGAGGTAATAACTACTCTGGGGTATCTATCACAAACAGAGGTATGGCATTTCCCTTGTATATTGTTCTGATCAATAATTTCAAAAACAGGAAAGGGGGACAATAATAATTAGCAAAATGCTTCATCTATCTTTCTCTCCAACATTTGCTTCACTGCGACCTAATTTTACTAGTGTTCTAAGCAAGGAGCTGGAGGATATGAATATTCACAACTTTTTTTCTTAAATGTTATCTTGCAGTATTATATATATTCCTAATGGTTTTAAAAGATTGTAACTTTATGACACAGAATAAAGGTCACTGAAACATATAATAGAAAAAAAACACAGGCTTTGGGGTCACATGGACCTTAAATTTGGACCCTGACACTTACATATCCTCTATAAAATTACAGTATCAAATCCTAACTTCTCAGGATGCTGTGAAAATTAAAAGAGATAACAATTATGAAGTTCCTAACACATGGAAGGTGCTTAAGACATTTTAGCCCCCTTTCCTTCAAAGAGTGACATATATATGGTTATACCAAGGGTATCAGTTTTAAACGTCATGCTTCATTATTTCCTTCAGACAAACGGTAGCATAGCATGAAGCATCAAGATCAAAAGAGATCAAAAGAGACAAAGCTGTTTCATCAATGTGGGAACCTTTCGTTTTGACATCAATGTCATGATCTTCCATTAGTTGGTATGAGAGATTACAGGGATGTTTCAAAATCTGTCTATAGCAACCTGGTATATTCAGTTTCAGAGTAGGTACTTTAAACCTACATGTCTGTAGTCCATCTCTGCTAAGTATGTCATGGTACCACTGCCCTACTTTGTTCTTCGGGTACTGAATATTGTATCCAAGTACTGGAAGAACCACCTGTGAAAGAAAAGAGGGAAAAAATATGAAAATAGCCTTCAAAAAGATACATGATCATATTTTTAATGTACTTTTATGACTGCGACCTGGATTTGTAAAAATAGTCTCAGAATATAAACACCACAATCAGCCTAAAACATGCTTTAAATAATATGCTATGATATTTTTATGCTGCCAAAGAAAATAGCTAACTAAAATCAAGGACTCACAATAACTAAGGTAACCAACTCAAATCAGATATTATTAAACAATCCACTGTTTAAGAAGTTTAGGTACACTTAATTAGCTGATAAAGACTTAATCTGTATAAAATAAAGCATGTACTTTCTATAACACAAAGAGTAACCTCTACTGCTCAGTCACATTACCGGTATTTTGGTGGACAATTTTAAATTTTCTTATTTCTTCCAGAACAAGAAAACAAACACATAGCAACACATTCAATGTTTATTTTCTTAGCTGCTTGTGAGTAAACACTGCATTTTGTGGGTTGTTCTTCCTTTGCTGGTGTCTTCTAGACAGTTTTCTTGAACAGCACCAAAAGGTAGTCAAGAAAAGGAAGAAGGTAAAAAATTCAAATATACACAATATGAATGAATCTGAAATTCACTATGCTAAGTGAAAGATGCCAGACACAAAAGGCCATATACTGTAGTATTCCATTTATATGACATTATTTCAAAGGCAAAACCATAGTGACAGAAAACCGATCAGGGGTTGCCAGGGGTGAGGGATGGGAATGGGCGCAGGAAAATTTGGAGAGGGGAGGAAACTGTTCTTTATGATTGATATTTGTGGTGGCCACACAGTCCTACATTTATCAAAAATATGTTTATCAAAGTCTATACAATTGTAAACTAAGTGAATTTAATTGTATATAAATTATACCTTAATTTAAAAGTTGTTTAATAAAAAAGAGGAGGGGAACTAGTTAACATTTTGCTTTTTGGGGACAATGTCTACACTTAGATCTAAGTGATAGTAATTTTTAAGCAAATTTACCTGATGTATTGCATACATATTAGCTGATCCCTCCTCTTCAGTTACCAGGTGAATCTAGTTTTAAAAAACATGAAAATATGAATGATTCCCAAATGTTCCAAATTTCCACCACTTTCAATTTTCCCTAACTCTATTATATATAAATCAGTTCCTATGCTGAATATACATAAACCCAAACAAGATCTTATCATAATTTGTTTCTGGAGGAGTAGACTACATAAAAATTAGAATGATTCTTCCTGCTTTAACCACTAATCACTGAATTTGGATAACATGGAGAAAGGTGGGCTGCTGAAAACTCTGAGGCAATACTTTCACCTCAATCACCAGCAATCTTTTTCTAAATCACAAAGTTTTTCTTTATTAGGCTGAATTGAAAATCTGCTTCTATAATATCAACCCACTACCCACCCCCACTAATCTCTGTCCCCCGAAAATATAATAATCTATACAGAACTGATTTTTCTCTGACTGGATGTGGTAGCTCACATCTGTAATTCAGTGCTTTGGGAGGATCGCTTGAGGCCAGCAGTTTGAGACCAGCATGGACAACATAGGGAAATCCTGTCTATATAAAAAAAAATTTTTTTTTATTAGCCAGGTGTGGTGGCACATGCCTGTAGTGCTAGCTACATAGGAGACCCAGGCAAGAGGATCGCTTGATCCCAGGAGCTAAAGACTGCAGTGAAACATGATGGTGCCACTGCACTCCAGCCTGGGTGACAGAGCAAGACTCTGTCTTTAAAATAAAATTGAAAAAAAAAAAATTTAAAGAGGTGGTATTTCTCAGCATTTGTTTCATAGAATGGTAACAGGTGTCACATACAAGAGGAAAAAAAGGTGCATGACAGATTAACTCTATGAAATGTGGCTCTAGGATATCACAGAATAAGCAGTTCTGCTTTCTCTTATACATGAAAGCTCAAACAGAAAGGCAGCTATTCTCTCTTCACAAGGCTTCAGCGCATTCTCATATTCCTAAAGCATTCATCACACGGTACAGTGTCTAGAGCCCCTCTAAATCTACCTGATTTCCCCTCAACTCTCCCTAGTCTTATCAATAATGTTGCTCCTTTTTGTTTTTAATTTAGGGTTTGTTTTTTTGTTTATTGGTAACTAACCTCTTTCAGTTACTGCACTCAGAAACAGAAACAAAGCTCCAGATGTGATCTGATCAAAATACAAGAGACAGACTACATGGAATTATGATCTCTCTTGCATCACCATTTCTAGCCTTTTTTCTTTCACAGAGTCATAAGTATACCTACATACTGTGATTTAAGTAATTTATGAAAACATCGAATAAACATGGTCAGGTATAAAACACCATGCTTTGTCTTTAAAGAATTCCCTCCAGGTTGATATCCAGCAATTCATGAACAAACATGCTTTCCTTGTATGGCTGCTCCCCAACTATAAATTCACCTAAGTTTTTAATTGTCTAACTCACATTTCTCCATCTTGCCCACACACACACACACAAAGAAAAGTTACCAAGTGATTTGAAAATGTAGATACACCTGTTAGTCTAGTAACTCTATCAAAAGAAGGAATCAGATTAGTTTTCTATAATTTTTAATTGTAGATGCATATTACATGCCCCATATACCATTTATTAAGAATTTTATTCTTTTTCCTTTTCATATTTTATATTTTGGGCCTCTAAGTCCTGCCTTTTCTTTCCTCAGTGCTAACTAATAAAATAAGTGATCGATCTTAAAATATATATAAACATTGTTTTTGCTGCTCATAAAAGGAAATTCTGCAAAATATGTAGGAGAAAATGTTTTCTCTTCTCCTATAGCTCCAAAAAGAAAGCAGCTAAAATTCCAATCACAAAACTATCCTTGTAAATGTTATTCTGAATGAAGAAGTCTTATAAAACTCATGCATTTCAAAAATTGTTGTATCTTGTGAAAGTAATCTTTAACTTCCAAAAATCTGAATTAGAAATGGATGACTTACTAATTAGTGTGCTTTCCAATATTTAATTGGACATGTTTTCTGGGAGGTGTTAAGAAATGATAACGATTTTTTATTATTTATCAAAAGGGGATCATTGACATATCTCTTCTCCCCCACATGAGGTAAAATAAAACTTAAATGCTACTAGATTTCTTTTCACACAGTTTGAGTCTGTATCTCAATTAAATTACCATTCTTAGTAACATATGCTGCCTCCTAGTGATCATTTTCTTATCATTTCTTTCCTATTAGGTTGGAGCACAAGTAATTGCAGTTTTTGCATATTCATCCATTTAATGAAAAAGTGAAGCCGACATCTGATGTTCTGGCTTATGCAATCTTTACTCCCTCTTTTCAAGTAGCGGCACTCTCATTTTCCAGGGGACCTCTCCCAGGTGTCAGATGTGGATTAGGGTCCCAGGAAGGAGCCCCAGGAATGCAGGTTTAGTCAATCACATACTGCAGTTCACACTTTCTGGTTTGGTTCTGTACATATGATCCAGGCCAGGCCATTCCTAGCCACTGAGACTCAATTACACAGCTTTTGTTGACACTGTTGGGAAAGAAAAATCATTTTTCTGCAGAGAAGCAAGTCTAGAGTGGTGAGAAATAAGCCTAGAGTCGTTAATAATAATCTTGCCACCAAAGGTGTAAGCTAGACTGGGAATGGATCTAACAGAGAAAAGCAGAGCTGAATGATGAAAAAAAGGAGATCGTTTAGGACACTTAAGTCCCAAATACAGCTGCGCCTGAATCAATCATGGGCTTTCAGTTATGAGGACCAATAAATTCCCATGTTTCTTTAAATTACTGTGGGTTTGAGGTGGGTTTCTATTACTTAAAACCAAAAAACCTTAATTAATACATCAAGAATTCTGACATTAATTTAGATAAAGTTTGCTTTATGTAGAGTTCAGAGTCTGTTTTACCTCTATTTTTGAAAAACCGGACCATGTTCTAGTTCTCACTACAGACTACTTCTCTATACTCCATGATTTTTCTAGTAGAGACCCAACAGGGCTAGGAGTTAGGCAGCCGGGTCTTTTTAATTCCACTACTTGTGTGACTCTGAATCTGTCTACTCTCCAATCTGGGACCCAATTTTCATTTCTATAAAATGGGAATTAAAAAAGAGTGTCTCTAAAATCCTTTTGTTCTCTAAAATTCAATGATTTTACTGTTACATACGAAAGTGTTACTCAAATTTTCACTAATTTTTAAAATTTATGAGACTGACTTATGATAAAGTTGGAGAATAATAATTTGTTCTTTTTGCATTACAGCACTATCAAATGAATTTCCTTGCATGATTTATGGAACCCAGTTTCATTAGTTCAAACTCACAGAGATAAAAACAACTGGATGGCCGGGTGCGGAGGCTCACGCCTGTAATCTCAGCACTTTGGGAGGCCGAGGCGGGTGGATCACGAGGTCAGGAGATCGAGACCATCCTGGCTAACATGGTGAAACCCAGTCTCTACTAAAAATAAAAAAAAAATTAGCCAGGCGTGGTGGCAGGCATCTGTAGTCCCAGCTACTTGGGAGGCTGAGGCAGGAGAATGGCGTGAACCCGGGAGGCAGAGCTTGCAGTGAGCCGAGATCGCGCCACTGCACTCCAGCCTGGGCGACAGAGCGAGACTCTGTCTCAAAAAAATAAAAAAATAAAAAATAAAAATAAATAAATAAATAAAAATAAAAAATAAAACTGGACAAGGAGGAAATGGAAGGACCAAGCTTTATAATATAAACTATATTATAACTTCACTAATATAAATGTCTCTAAGACATTGTTAAGAGGAAATTATGAATCATATTTAGATAAAATCACATTTCTATAAAAGAAATACACACATTACATTGTTCCATATACCATTATAAAAATCATATTCCTTCTCCTCTCCATATTTTAAGTTTTGAGTCTCTAAGTCCTACCTTTTCTTTTCTCGGTGTTAACTAATAGAATAAAAATAGATTTTCAATGGATATTTATGTGAAAACATACAGAAAGGTCTAGAAAGACACATAACAAACAACAGAGGTTGAGTCTCTGGAGGAAGCACAGGGAATCACATTAGGATGCTAGCAGGGATGGCAGCCTCATCTGTAATGTTTTTATTTTTGTTTTTAGGCACAGTCTCGTTCTGTTACCCTGCCTGGAGCGCCATGGCACGATCTCGGCTCACTGTGACCTCCGCCTCCCAGGTTCAAGAGATTCTCCTGCCTCAGCCTCCTGAGTAGCTGGGATTACAGGCGTGCGCTACCACACCTGGCTAATTTTTGTATTTTAGTAGAGATGGGGCTTCACCATGTTGGTCAGGCTGGTCTCAAACTCCTGACCTCGTGATCCGCCCACCTCAGCTTCCCAAAGTGCTGGGATTACAGGTGTGAGCCACCACGCCTGGCCTTGATTTTTATTTTTATGGGCTGTTTTGTGCATTATTTGTGTAATCTTTTTTAAAATGGGTTTTTTAAAGGAAGCTTTACTACCTATATATCTTTCACTCCATACCACTATTTTTATCTTTCCATTTACCAACATGTGTTAAGCCTAAACTGACAGCAGACTTGAAGCAGGAGATGAGTAAATATAAGTACAAATAGATAAATAAATTACATGTATGTTTAAAGTGTTTCTATAATCAGGGCTTTTGAAAAATTCATGTTCTGGTATAGTAACTACTCTTGGAAAACTCTGATGGAATGATACTTACTTTACTATTTGGGAAATTCTCGTCATCAATGTCTTCATCCAAACAGACCAAATCACCCTGCACTACTCTTGCTCCATAGGTTTCAAGTCTGTAAGATACTGCCTCATTCCAAATTTTGCTGGTATATGCGTGAACATAGAATATGCGCATGGAATGGGGTAAAGAGAACCATGCCTGGATACAACCTTCCTCGGTCATGCCAAAGCGGTGCAATGCCTCCAACAATGCTCTCTCACGCACTTTGAATTCAGGCATCAATGAAAGTGTGCCTTTAGCATCCTCTGAAACAAAGGGTAAATCAGGTATAGTTAGCCACTTTTATTTAAAGGCCAGTTATAAAGGCTTTTGTTCTAATCTCAAACTGAGGCAATGAACATGGGTATTAAGATGATATTCAACACTTTCAGTTAAACCTAGCTACACTTGAAGAGCTTTAAAAAAAATAATAAGCATAATATGGCCCTACTTTCACTTTCCCTGCTATTAAAAAAAAAAAAAGCCAAGAATCCAACATTAGTAACAGCTTACTAAAGTCCCTTACTTCAGAATAGAGATAATCTAATGAAGTTATTCACAGGACTGTTAAAACAAAATCAAACAAACAAACAAAAAACCTAAAGGATTAAATAATTTAATTGCTGAGCTAGCAGAGGCTTGAGTTTTTTAAAGAGCTATTCTGGACATAAACACAGAATTTTTTTACTAAGAAAGGGTTGAGATCTGGAGCCTTCAGGCACACTATTATGCCTCACAAATGCACTTTGAAATGTAGATGACTGGAATCTACCACAAAGATGCTTATTCACGTATGGCCTTGGAATTGGCATTGAAATAGATGTACCAGGTGTTTCTTATGCATATGAATGTTTAAGAATCATTGCCATAAGGAAATTATCATCTCGGGACTCTATAACAGACATAAACAAGTCACTTTGAATTTTCCTTATTATTACTTAAATTACTCATAAGAGTTAGAAGTGTCCACACTGTTTACACATTGTGGTATGGCACAAAAATACTACTTTCCTGCGAATAGCTGCACATATGTAATATGTACATAATTAAAAATAATAAATAAATATTTGAAAACTGACATCCTTTATTTCAATATAAGTGAAATTCAGTATGTCGGTCAGATATCTGAATGAATCTGAAATGGTGTGCTTGCTGTTTTTATTATTTAAATAAAGGTAATATTTATAATATTATAAATAATATTATTTAAATAAAGGTAATATTTATCTCTGTGTAGTACACGCAAGGCATTATTCCAAGGGCATATCTAAATCTCATAATACTCTTTTAGGTACTGTGATTTGCTTCAATTTACAGATAAGGAAACTAACACAATGATGTCAAATCACTTGCACAAAATCATACAGTTGGGAAGTATTAAAGTTGAGAGTTAACCCCATGCAGTCTGACTCAAGCCATACTCATAACCACTTTTCCTTAGTGGTTTTCATCAAGCATTCTATATGTATTCCATCATACTGACCTAACGTTTTAAAAATTGACAGGGCTAATTGGCAGCTAGAATGAGAATAATGTGTAAAGTTTGGAATATCATAAATGAACTTTTATTTATTTGTGTTTGTATCTCCCCCAGCTGCAATTAATTATTGTCATCAGTGCCAGATTCGAATTTGGAACTCTCTCTCAGAGGATTTCAGCCAAGAAAAACTAAGAAACTATTTCTCCCATTGCCCCTACCCCTAGACAAGACTTAGCATAGACAAAAAAACTTCCAAATCTGACCAAAAACGAAGTGAGTGCCTAAGTCATGTAATAAAAGTGTTCAGTATGTAATATACTATAATTTATTTCTTATCACATTTATGTTACAATAAATGCTCTCCTGCTGATAAAACATTTATAGTGTGTATCTGTATCTGCATGGTTATGTACAGGATAAAGAAACGTAAATACCAGTTTGAAGAAAATACTTCTTTGCTCTATTTACAGGATCATCCAAGTCTTCTGGTGTAAGAAACAATTTTATGGCTTTCATCTTAAAAAATCAAGCAGGTAAACATGTGTTAATGAAAATGTCAAATTACTTTCTTTAAAAAAAGATGCAAATTCTCTAGCATCCTAAAAGAATAGGGATTTAATAATTATACTTGATGCTGCAATTTTCTCTTTAGGCTTGCAAAAATTAAACAGACAATGTTAAATGTAGAAATAAGCCTTCTGCATGAAATAATTTTATATATAGGTTTAAAATATTATGGACTGAAAAAAGTATTTCCCTATCACTTCCATAATTCTACTTTTGTCATTTTTTTTAAATATTAAAGTTAAAATGTATTGACATTCTTAGTAAGGTGTAAGAATTCTGAAAAGCTTAGGCTAAATGTATTAAACCCTTATTTTTAAACTGTTTCCAAAAGCAAAAAAATTAGCAAGTATTATAAATAGTAAAACTTTTTTGCAGTCATTTCAGGTTCTTAACAACCCACCAGAAGAAGCACCAAGAAAACCTAGCATATTTCCTAAGACAGTGAAAACTGAGCCCCTTCTGGCCTAAAAATAAATATTAAATAGTTCTTTAATATTTAAATAGATGTGTTTGAAAATATTTAATATTTAAATGGCTGGAGTAGAAGTAAAATTAAACCAATGTTTGTATTGTTACAGAAGAAAAAAGAAAAAAAAATAGGGCAAATGAAAAAGGAAGACAATGTCCAGATCAAAGAGTTAAATATGGACACAAGAAATGCAAGCAGCTGTAAAGTGAAAGATCAAGAACCACTCTGAGGGCTCAGAAGTAGAAACTAGTGAACTCCAAAAGCAACCCTCAAAGAAAAACAAAAAAGCAAGAAAGATTTTAAGTATCCAACTTACCTGAGTCAAAAAAGGGAAGAAGAAAAGAAGTAGCTCTGAAGATGTAGAATGCCTCGCTCCCAGAGCAAAAGTAAAGAAAATCACTCAGAAAGACAACATTAAAAAAAGAAGCCTCAGAAGTTTCCAAAGAAAACACAGCTATAACTTTCAGGTTAGGATTAAATGAATTAAAGTTATGTTTCACCCATTTCACAGCCACAAATATCTTTTTTGTTTGTTTTTTTGAGACGGAGTCTCGCTCTGTCACCCAAGCTGGAGTGCAGTGGCGCGATCTTGGCTCACTGCAACCTCTGCCTCCCGGGTTCAACCTATTCTCTTGCCTCAGCCTCCTGAGTAGCTGGGACTACAGGCGCCCACCACCACGCCCGGCTGATTTTTGTATTTTTAGTAGAGACAGTCTTTACCATATTGGCCAGGCTGGTCTCGAACTCCTGACGTTATGATCCTCCTGCCTCAGCACAAATAACTGGCTTTTTTATTTCTCAAGACTTAGAAGTCCTTGAAGAACAAAAGGATGCTGGAAATATAAAAGATGGTTCTCCCTTAAAACTAAAAAGGATTCATAAGACAAAAGATAAAGAGAGACATAAAATTGGAGAAGAGGTTATATTGAGAGTACTATCAAAGTAAGTACACAGTATAAATTCTATTGTCATTGGCAATTGACAGACAACCTAGAGTTCTGTCATCCTTTATCTCTATTATTGAGCCAAGAACACAAGGGTAAAATAATGGCATACATTTCAGACTGGACCAACACACATGACAAAAATAGGAAAGTAGCAAGCAGAGGGGAATGGCAAGCCCTTAATTTCATTTGTGCCCTCAATTTCCTAAATTCTTTGGACTTAAAAATAATTGCCAAAATCTTAATGAAAAAGTTGCCAAATTTAATATTTTAAATCCTAAATGATTAAAAGATGTTCCTTTTTTAAAAAATAATATCTACTAGTTTATGTATTTTATCACTGTCTTTAGCACTGGGATTTATTTCTAAAGCACGTGTCTTAGAGTAGGAAAGGATCTTAAATAGGTCATTTGACCCAATTTCCCACTCAATTTTCTTTTACAGCATTCATTTATTCAAACAAATATTATTAGGTATCTGCCACATGCTAGGTACTGCATAGGGTATTAGGGACAGAGCATTGAGTAAAAGAGTCATGGTCTCTGTTCAACTAAAACTTTCTGCCTACTGACAAAATTAAATAAGCAATAACAATAAAATATAATAAAACTTAAGATGGGAAGCCCAAGATGATTCAGGATCACAAAATAAGAGGAATTCACTTTTTCTTGGGGAGTAGAATGAGAATATTTAAACTGAGACCTAAAGAATATACAGGTTGGGGAGGGGGTGCTTCAGGCAAAGGAAAGAAGATATAGTTTTTTAGCTGCAGGAACCAGCCTCTAAGATGGCCCCCAATGCTCTCCATCACTTGGTCTTCACACATGGAGTAGTCCTCTCCCACACTTATCAGGGTTGGTCTCTGTGGCCAGAAGACAGAAGAAGTGAAAGTATGCCACTTCTGAGACTAGGTTATAAAAGACACTGTGGTATCTGTTGTCTCTCTCTCTCTCCTTTGCATCCTTGGACTTATCTCTCTAGGAGAAGCCATGCCACAAATAGTTTTAAGCAAGAAAATAAAGTCTGCCAACAACCACGAGCATGAGCTTGGAAGCAGATCCTCCATCCTGGTCAAGTCTTCAGAGACTACACATCCGGGCCAATTGTGTGACTGCAGCCTCACAAGAAACCCTGATCCAGAGCCACTCAGCTAAGCTGCTCCCAAATTCCTGACTCTCAGAAACTGAGATAATAAATGCTTGTTGTCTTCAACCACCACGTTTTGGGGTAATTTGTTACACAGCAATAATTGATTATTACTACTAAAGCAAAATTTTTTAAAAATTCAAGAGCATGTAATATGAGGTTTGAAAGAGGTAGAGGGGTAGCCATCCAGCTTTTGCTTAAATGTTATGAGAAACAGGACATTCCAGTTATTTGAACAATTGTTAAGAAAAAGTCTTTCTTATGCTGGACTACAAGTCCCTTAAATATCTAGCCCATTCCATCTATGGACACTTGTCTGGCACTGTACTAGCTGCCTTCACAAAAGTTCTTTCATTTGATTCTCAGAAAAATCTTGTGACATACATGCTATCTCCATTTTACAGATAAGGAAACTGAGGCTTGGAAAAGTTAAGCAACTTGGAAAAGTTAAGTACCTATAGTAACACATGTGACAAATGGCAGAACTCAAGTAGAACATCTGCTGCATCCAACAGGCCCCAAACTATTAAGTTCTTCTTCTGTATGACAAAATTTTAAACATTTTACAAGTTAATTTTCAGAGTTTTCTAGACTGAAGAACCACTGCTGAGGTAAACATTTCTAGACTCTTTATTATATCAGTTATATTCCAGTTGCTAAAATCTCCTTTGAAATGTGAAACCCAGAACTAATTATAGATTTGCAGATGTGGTCTAAATCATCAGCTCTGAACATTATTTGATATGTAAGATGATGTTCAATGCACTACGCTTCTCACAAAATCTTTTACTGTTTCTTTCTCTTCCACTCAAGAAATCATATTAGAACACAGGTGAGTGAACGAGATACTATCATAAGAATAATCTTGCATTTGTTCAAATATATAATTTTTATAGTTTTATAGTTTTCCTCCATTATGTGCACTCCATTTTAGTGTAAAAATATGTAATTACATATAAAAAATATAAATTAAAAGCAGATATACACACATACGCTTTTAATATTTCAGCAAATGCAGCTTCTTAGTTGTAACATGAATTTTTAGCTTCATTTTGAACTAGTCAGATTTTGTTTTCAAATTTACTGCTCCCCTTTTAGTCTCTGGACTTATGTGGATTCCTATCTTTTATATGATCTGATATCTGATTTCTGGGATTGTAGGATCAAAATTTCCTCTAAATCTTCTATTCAGTTCACTAAAATTGGAAAGTGATGGTCATTTCTGTGTCAAATCTCAAATATGTACTAACCACAAGGACACTCACACTGTTGGCTTTCTTGTAATGTGATATCAAGGACAGAGCAGCAGCTTACTAAATGTTCAGTAATGTAATATATTTGGTATGTGAGTGTTTACATGCATTTATATGCTAGAGTTAAGAAAGCAAGGAGCTGGGTTATGTAGTAAGTATAATTGACAGAAACAGATAAGATTACATTTTTCAAAATCCATACCATTTCATTCTTCAGCAAAGCTAGTCCAATTTGGTCTGTGTGAACTTTCCTTCCCTTCCCAAATCTCTGTGGTCCATAGTAATTCACAAAGCCTTTTTTCTATGTATACAAAATAATCAACAAATTAAGAGTATATAAATACAATTATGTGTCAAAATACACAATTGAATTTTTCTCTTCATAATTATTTTAACAGAATAACTCTGTAATCAGCAGTATACACATAGGGACCAAATGGTCTGAAAAATGCTGTAAATTAAAGAAAAGGAAAGAAAACACAGAATTAGAAGTTAGAACATAAAACCAATGAAGAAAACTTTAAAAATACGTCAGCTTTCCATTCATGTTACTGAGGGATTTCCTGGGATGTGAGATTTTCAGTGTTAAAGCCAGAAAAGTTCTGGGCTTCCAAAATGAGTTGATCACCTAGTACCAAGATCTGATCCCTACTCTGATGCTCTTTCTTATTTTGAGACTCTTCGGCTGTCTGGAGATGTCGGGAGTCAAGAACAGGCTCACTTTCAAACCCCACATATCCTGGCTCTTTTCTACATAACGTTCGTTCTTTAGTTCATCTCAGTTTCTTAAAGGCTGACCTGAGACAATGGAGCCACTTCAGCAGTACTCTACCGGTCCAGCTATTCCAGCACCTGGAACAGTCTGTATTCCAGGGGAAGAATACAGACTTCACTTCCTGCTGGAGGTGAACCATACAGGCCATGTTTTAAAACTGTCACATTACTCAGAAGAAATGGAAAACTGTAACATACTACCGCAACCATTAAAGAAATTGGTCAGTCATTAAACATGTGCTCACAAAGAAAACACCAGGCCCAGACAGTTTCTTGAAAGACAAGAGTCCTCCACACTTACTTTATGAGGAGAGTATGCATTTATTCAGTCAACAATTATTATTGAATACCAACTCAAGAACTTTTTAATAAAAGATGCGGAGCCAATTTGTTATCAGCATGGTACAAAAGCAATTGCATCTTTATCTCATGTCATTTAAAAAATTAATTGCAGGCCAGGCTCAGTGGCTCACACCTGTAATCCCAGCACTTTGGGAGGCCAAGGCCGGCGGATCACGAGCTCAGGAGATGGAGACCATCCTGGCTAACATGGTGAAACCCTGTCTCTACTAAAAATACAAAAAATTAGCTGGGCGTGGTGGCGGGCACCTGTAGTCCCAGCTACTCAGGAGGCTGGGGCAGGAGAATGGCGTGAACCCGGGAGGGGGTGCTTGCAGTGAGCCGAGATCGTGCCACTGCACTCCAGCCTGGGTGACAGAGCGAGACTCCGTCTCAAAAAAAAAAAAATTAATTACAGATAGAATAAGTACTCCCTGAATTAAATCTCATAAATATTTTTAGTTATTTCAAATTTGAAAAAATAACATAAGATGACGTCCTAGAGTAACCAGAAGAGTTTTAAATTAACCCTTCAAAGTACTTAGATATAACAAAAGGTTTATAACAGAGATATAACCCCTTGAAACAAAACTTCAAAGACTCCTTATTTTCAGGGTTTCTCAATTCCTTTCTCACATCATAAGAACTAATGGAAGTTGGCTAAAACTAAGATTGTTTCTAATGGGAATTTTGTAATAGGCAGCTGTATGTTCATAAATAACAAATGAAAGACAGGGAATAAATGCTACCAGAGTTCAAAGAAACTTCTACCTTTTTAAAGTATATCATTTTAGTAACAGTTTTTGAGGAAAAAAAAGTAGAATTTTAGGTGGGTCAAGGAAAACGAAGGTAAAACAACATATGATATGGTTTGGCTGTGTCCTCACCAAATTTCATCTTGAATTGTAATCCCCACAATTCCCACATGTCATGGGAAGGACCCGGTGGGAAGTAATTGAATTATGGGGTCGGTTTTACCCCATGCTGTTCTCATGAGAGTGAGTTCTCACGATAGTGAGTTCTCACGAGATCTGATGGTTTTACAAGTGTCTGGCATTTCCCCTGCTGGCATTCATTCTCTCTCCTGTCACCCTGTGAAGAGGTGCCTTCTGCCATGATTGTAAGTTTCCTGAGGCCTCCCCACCTATACGGAACTGTGAGTTAATTAAAGCACTTTTCTTCATAAATTGCCCAGTCTCGGGTATTTCTTCATAGCAGCATGAGAATGGACTAACAAAACATATAAAGAGTATATAATCAGATAACTTCCATATACAGATGAAAGTGCTGGATTTAAAAGATCTTTAGTTGGAAGATATTTTCCTAACTACAAGGCAGATTAATAACCAGTTTTTGTTTGTTTTCCTGTTGGACAGGTATAAAATTGTGTAAAAAGGTCTTTGTGGTGAGAAACTTGAATCAGTGTTTCTCGGTATTGGCTCTAAAGTACAGTCACCTAAGAAGTTTTTCAAAAATAAGTACTAATGCCTAACCTGCATCCCCAAATGTTCTTTTTTAATTGGTTCAGGAGTAGATATCAATGGGTGAAATTTTTTGAAAGCTCCTCAGGTTGAGAACTACTCATCTAGATCAGGGGTTAGCAAACTACTATAGCCCACAAATGAAACCTGGTCCAACACCTGTTTTTGTAAATAAAGTTTTATTGGAACACAGCCATGTTCATTCACTTATATATTGTCTGTGGCTGCTTCCATACAATGGCAGTAGATTAGTTGCAAGAGGAACCATATGTCTAAAAGGTCAAAAATTTTATTATCTGGCCCTTTACAGTATAAAGTTTGCTGATGTCTAGATGATCTAAGATGGTCTAGTCTTGAAAACTATAGTTGTATGTGCACATTTAAATGTCGGGAAAATGTCATTTAGAAACTTATGCTAAGTAATTTTTTACTGTAAAACATAAAGTTTATGATATGTTTGGCTGTGTCCCCACCCAAATCTCATCTTGAATTGTAGTTTCCATAATCCCCACTTGTCATGGGAGAGACCCAGTGGGATTGAATCATAGAGGTTGTTACTCCCATGCTATTCTCATGATAGCGAGTGAGTTCTCACAATATTTGATGGTTTTATAAGGGGCTTTTCCTCCTTTGCCTGGCACTTCTCCTTCCTGCCACCATGGGAAGAAGGATATGTTTGTTTCCCTTTCCACCATGATTATGAATTTCCTGAGGCATCCCCAGCCATGCTGAACTGTGAGTCAACTAAACCTCTTTCCTTCATAAATCAACCAGTCTCAGGTATGTCCTTACTAGCAGTGTGAGAATGGACTAATACAGTGTGTGTGATTTATAATGTGTATACATCAAAATTTCCAAACAATAAATTCCCCTGACTAAATACTACTCTATATAGCAGATGCTTAAAAAAAATCTCTCTTATGAATGTAGATTGTCCCCTCTTCTCTGGAGGACACCATATCCTGCATTTTTAAAATCATGTTTACATATTTTGTTTTGTTTAAATACAAAAATGTATTAAGCTGAAAATAAAATATAAGCCAAATGGCCCTAATTATCACTTTAGAAAATAATTAATCACTTTTAAAAATCCCATAAAAAGGTACAAAAGAAAAAGAAGTTTCCCCTCTTGCCTCAGTGTAGAGAAAGAGACAATGAAGATTTCCCTGGATGCCTTTTAAAATTAAGTTTTCTTACCTTAACATTTTCTATTGCTTCCATAATTCTCTCCCTCAGGTTTGCAGAATCATTTATTTGTTTTTTTAAATTTCTAATGACAATATCAAAGTGATTTCCTTTGAGCTGACCAAGTCTCAGGGAATCATCTACAGACCGAATATTAAAGACATTCATTCTTTTCTTTTCAATTTCTTTTTCAATATTTTTCAACCTGTAAGTAATAAATCATATAAACTCAGTTAAATTTTACATTTAAAAATTACTTTAAAATAAGGTTTTAAGTGGCAGTTGCCAAGCAACCCCTTATATGAGAATACTAATACAATTTTTTAAGAATATTCTAAAGTTAATGTTATTTCACCAAATGTGTGCTTAATACCCATTATTATAGGATTGCATTAACAGAACTATTTTAAAAACTTGAACATATATTACTAATGTTATCACTCTTCCAGTGTAGGCCTTCTGACTTCTCCTTAGCTCGAGTGACAGAAGCTCCTAGCAGTTCTCCTGATCTTCCTGTCCCCAACTCTGCTCCTTTCCTTCTCAGTCTCTTTACCCAACATTACCAAGAAAAATCACTAGCACCAGAGGATTTTCCTGAAATTCTGCTCTGACCACTTCCTTACTCAAACTTTCAATTCTTCCCAACACCTAAAGAATTAATATCTTCAATATTTTTAGAGTAACTTGTATGACCCTATAAGGGCTGATTTAAAATTTCCTTTATAGCCATATTTTCCACAGTCCTTATAGGAATTATATACGTGACAGACTATTGAGTTTACTGCCCGCAAATGTATCTCTAGTTTTTTGCGTCTGCTAAAATCTTACTATTACTTGAAGTGTAATTAAAATTCCAGACTCATAAGCTAAATTAAAGTAATCTCTCTTCCTTAGAGGGGAGCTTTCATCTTAAATACACTTTAACATCTAAAGTTCTTCTTTCTGCACTATCCTGCACTTCTTGACCACAAAAGCAAAATCAAACACCTTTTTTGTCCCCCATATAAGAGCTTAGAAGCACTCAGAAGAGTCTACTTGCACATAGTGGATACTTAAACATGCGTTAACTAAGAATTAATATATCGATATTACGTTAATTAGGCTGAATTTTGACCCAATCATTCACATTTTGAAGTTTATCTTAAGGAAATTATAAGTTACAGATTTAAGTATAAGAATATTACTCATGGTATTATTTACAGTGAAAAGCTGGAAAGAATTTCCATTTTCAAAAACAGGGAATGTTAAACAAATTAGTCTATATGATAGACATAATTTATTTCATGACATAAATTTTCATCTAACAATATTATTTTATTTTATAAAGCAAAATATAAACTGTATATGCAGTATGATTTTCATATATATAATAAATGTTGGCTGGGTGCAGTGGCTTATGCCTGTAATCCCAGCACTTTGGGAGGCTGAGGCGGGTGGATCATCTGAAGTCAGGAGTTCGAGACCAGCCTGGCCAACATGGTGAAACCCCATCTCTACTAAAAATTCAAAAATTAGCCAGGCATGGTGGTGGGCGCCTGTAATCCCAGCTACTCGGGAGACTGAGGCAGGAGAATCGCTTGAACTTGGGAGGTAGAGATTGCAGTGAGCCAAGATTGCGTGTTGCACTCCAGCCTGGGCAACAAGGGCAAAAATCCGTCTCAAAAAAATAATAAATAATAAAAAAAAGTTTTTGTGTGATGTAGTCTCTGAAAAAGGTCTAGAGAGAAACAGAGAAAAATGTTATTGCAGTTATTTACTTTTGTTTATTTTTTTGAGACGGAGTCTCGCTCTGTCGCCCAGGCTGGAGTGCAGTTGCATGATCCCTGCTCACTGCAACTCCCACCTCCCTATTCAAGCAATTCTCCTGCCTCAGCCTCCCAAGTAGCTGGGATTACAGGCGCACGCCATCACATCCAGCTAATTTTTTATATTTTTGGTAGAGATGGGGTTTCACCATGTTGGCCAGGCTGGTCTCGAACTCCTAACCTCAAGTGATCCGCCTGCCTCAGTCTCTCAAAGTACTGTGATTATAGGCGTAAGCCACCGTGCCCAGCCTATTGCAGTTATTTCTGAGTAGTAGGCTTACCGGTAACTTCATTTTTAAAAAACTTTTTTCTATTTTCTATAATAAATATATGTCTTTTACAGTAACAAAAAAATTTGTAAAATTTGATTAAGCTGACGGAGGCTAAATTTGAGTACTTTACATTCTATTTCACGAGGATTTTTTTTAAATGTAAGGATCCACGATAATAAAGGCATAATATAATTAATTAGGAAAACATGATTTATGAGACACTTTTCTGAATATAAATGCATATTTGAATGCAGTACAGGATGTTTAGAAACCATTTAGACAATTTAAATCTTCCACTTCTCAAAGTTTCTATCCTAAAATTTCTTAATATCTTATTACCTCTCTGGAGTCACTTTTCTAACAACCATTGCTTGATAGGTGATGGCTTTCTTGTCTTTAAGGCCTGCATAACTAAAATCCGAAGGAATAACACCAAGTTTGATAGCTAAAAAACCAATCGCTTCAAACATTTCCAGGTTTTCCTTTCGTAGGGTAAAAGCTGAAACAAAAAAAAAACTTAGATCACAAAAAAAGCAGCTACCATACATCAATTACATTCTTAGCTAACAGATTAGTATAATAAATCAAACTATTAATCTAAGGAGTTTTGTTGTTGTTGTTGTTGTTGTTTTGTGATGGAGTGTCACTCTGTCACCAGGCTGCAGTGCAGTGGCGCAATCTAGGCTCACTGCAACCTCTGCCTCCCGGGTTCCAGTGATTCTCCTGCCTCAGCCTCCTGAGTACCTGGGACTACAGGTACACACCACCACGCCCAGCTAATTTTTGTATTTTTAGCAGGGATGGGGTTTCACCACTTTGGCCAGGATGGTCTCGATCTCTTGGCCTCGTGATCCACCTGCCTCGGCCTCCCAAAGTGCTGGGATTACAGGCGTCAGCCACCATGCCCAGCCGTAAGGAGTACTTTTTAATGAAAATATAAAATCAGCATGATAGATTTCAGCTGTTATTTTTAAACTGCTGGTTGGCTCATTGAAGGCTTACAGGCAAAAAATTCCAAATTCCTTAATTTGGTATTCATATCTGGCCAAATCCACTTTTCCTGTCTCCAAGTGCACCACTTCCCTTCACATATCCTGTAACCCTGCCACAGAGAACTTCTTGTAATCCCTGGATTAACTAGAGCCTTCAACAGTTTTGTACTTTCGTACATTTAAGTCCTCTGTCTAAAACATGTGTTCCCCTTGTATGTTCATTGCAGCGCTATTCAGAATACCGAAGACATGGAATCAACCTACGTGCCCAACAACAGTGGATCTGATAAAGAAAATGTAGCTGGGTACTGTGGATCATGCCTGTAATCTCGGCACTCTGGGAGGCTGAGGCAGAAGGATTTCAAGAGCAAACAATCTAAGACCAGGCTGGGCAACATATGGAGACCCCATCTCTACAAAAAATTAAAAAGTTAGCAAACACCTATGGTCACAGCTACCCAGGAGGCTGAGGTGGGACGACTGCTTGATCCTAGGAGGTCGAGGCTGTAGCAAGCCACGATGGTGCCACTGCACTCCAGCCTGGGTGAAAGAGCGAGACCCTGTCTCAAAGAAAAAAAGGTGGTACATATACACCATGAAATACTACACAGCCACTAAAAAGAAAATCATGCCCTTTGCAGCAACATGGATGCAGCTAAAGGCCGTTATCCTAAGTGAATTAACAAAGGAACAGAAAACCAAACACCTCATGTTCTCACTTATAAGTAGGAGCTAAACACTGGGTACACATAGACATAAAAATGGAAACAATAGACACTGGGGTCTATAAGAGGTAGGAGGGAGGAAGGGCATAAGGCTGAAAAACTACCTGTTGGGTACTATGCTCACTACCTGGGTGATGGGTTCCATCGTACCCCAAATCTCAGCATCACACAATATACCCTTGTAACAAACCTGCACATGTACCCCCTGAAACTAACATAAAAATTAAAAAATAAAATGTGTTCCTTCCATTTATTATTTGTCTTACTTCTATGCATTCTTGAAGGTCCAACAGCAGCAGCCATTCGCCCTAACAATTTTGGACATGTCATTCAAAAAGCTCAGCAATTTAAAAGAAATCCCCAGCTTGTTTATCAGTTTGTTGCTGATACTAGCCTAGGTGGATAAGCATTTTTTCACCCATAAAGATTTAGAATTTAGTATAGAAATATATTTAACAAAATCAAATCCATGATATTGTATTAATATTAATCTGTATCTACATAAAAGTTTATGCACTTGAATGTTTAAGAGAATGAAACTTGTAGTTCCAATTTAAAATATTTAATTGATTTAATTTGTCTTTTTACATTGAATCTTATTTAAGTTAGTAAGCAATATGGGAACATTTACAAAATCTTAAGGGTCACTAAATTTATAAGTTTAATGTATAAGATTTATAACATTTTCTTAATTACTTAGAACAATTACATATTTAAAAACAAAGTCAATTACACTGAATTTTAAAATTCAATTTTAGAGACTTCCACTTTGAGCCCTGTTGGAATAACTGACACCAGATGACCTCCCACTGTAAACAAATAGAACACTGAACAAAACATATGAAACAGCCATCTTTAGAGACTGGCAAATAGGTACCACAAAACTGTAATCTAAAAGAAAAGAAAAACAAATGAGGGGAATCCTAAAATACTCTAATTTTCTGCCTAGAAGTACATTCTGGAACATAGCACAGACAGAATCCAGGTAGAGCACAGGAGTTTTGCTGAGTTAGGAGGGTAGATATTGGAATTCAGGAAGGCTGAGTGGGCTGGAATTCACAGGGAGAGTACCTGATAAGACAAAGCTTTGTAGAGAAGAAGTTCCAGAAATCTACATAAATCGTTCCTTGAGTTTGTTGCTGATCAGTAATTTATGCATGTCTACGGTTAAATGCTATGTATTATTTATTGTTGCGTAACAAGTCACTTCAAATCTTAGTGGCTTACAATATTCATTTATCTCCTGTAGTTTCTGTGGATCAGGACTTCAAGAACTCTTTGGTTTGGTGGTTCCAGTTCAGGCTCTCCTGAGGTTGCATGCAGTTAGATGTGGCTAGGGCTGCAGTTATTTATTTATTTATTTTTAATTTATATATATATATTATTATACTTTAAGTTCTAGGGTACATGTGCACAACATGCAGGTTTGTTACATATGTATACATGTGCCATGTTGGTGTGCTGCAACCATTAACTTGTCATTTACATTAAGTATATCTCCTAAGGCTATCCCTCCCCCCTCCCCCCACTCCACAACAGGACCCAGTGTGTGACGTTCCCCTTCCGGTGTCCAGGTGTTCTCATTGTTCAATTCCCACCTATGAGTGAGAACATGCAGTGTTTGGTTTTTTGTCCTTGCGATAGTTTGCTGAGAATGATGGTTTCCAGCTTCATCCACGTCCCTACAAAGGACATGAACTCATCATTTTTTATGGCTGCATAGTATTCCATGGTGTGTATGTGCCACATTTTCTTAATCCAGTCTATCGTTGTTGGACATTTGGGTTGGTTCCAAGTCTTTGCTATTCTGAGTAGTGCTGCAATAAACATACGTGTGCATGTGTCTTTATAGCAGCATGATTTATAATCCTTTGGGTATATACCCAGTAATGGTATGGCTGGGTCAAATGGTATTTCTAGTTCTAGATCCCTGAGGAATTGCCACACTGTCTTCCACAATGGTTGAACTAGTTTACAGTCCCACCAACAGTGTAAAAGTGTTCCTATTTCTCCACATCCTCTCTAGCACCTGTCACCTGTTTCCTGACTTTTTAATGATCGCCATTCTAACTGGTGTGAGATGATATCTCATTGTGGTTTTGATTTGCATTTCTCTGATGGCCAGTGATGATGAGCATTTTTTCATGTGTCTGTTGGCTGCATAAATGTCTGCTTTTGAGAAGTGTCTGTTCATATCCTTTGCCCACTTTTTGATGGGGTTGTTTTTTTCTTGTAAATTTGTTTGAGTTCTTTGTAGATTCTGGATATTAGCCCTTTGTCAGATGAGTAGATTGCAAAAATTTTCTTCCATTCTGTAGGTTGCCTGTTCACTCTGATGGGCTGCAGTTATTTAAAAGCCTGAAAGAAACTGGAGGATCCATTCCCAAAGGGGCTCATTTACGTGGCTGGAAGGTTGGTACTGGCTGTTGGCATGAAGCTCTAGTTCCTGTCCAAAGGGCTGTTTTGAGTATCCTCACAGCATAGCAGCTGGCTTTCCCCAGAGTGAGCAATCCAAGAACATGACAAGAAGTGTAATACTTTTATGACCTAGCCTCAGAAGTCACCTCACATCCACATTCTCCCTCAAATTCTTTCCAAGTTCCAAGGCTGAATGCTTACAAAGTAAATATCACGTGTGCTTTACTGACCATTATATCCCATCCACTGGCAGACAAATGGGTAAGCAAAATGTGGCATACACCTACCATGGGGTATTATTCAGCCTTAAAAGGGAAGGAAATTCTAACACATGCTACAACATAGATGAATCTCGACAACATACTAAGTGAAATAAGCCCATTACAAAAAGACAAATACTGTATGATTCCACTTATATGAGACACCTAGAGTTGTCTAATCCATAGAGACAGAATGAAAAATGGTGGTTCCCATTTTTCAGAACTGGAGAGGAGGAAGAATTGTTTAATAAATATGGAGTTTTAGTTTGGGATGGTGAAAAAATTCTGGAGATGAATGGTGGTGAGGGATGTACAACCATGTGACTGTCCTCAATGCCACTGATACTTAAAAATGGTTAAGATGGTACATTTTATGTTATGTATATTTTAATGTAATTTAAAATTAAAAATAAAAGGTTTTTTGAACCATCATTCCTCCTTTTAACATATGCCTCCAACTATTCACAACTTTAGAAAAGTGAATTTAAACTAATATATAAAGTTCTATAATTTTTTTACTCATTAACCCAAATTAATATTGTTAGAATTTCAAGTAGTATAAGATAAATAAGAATTCCTAGAGCTGCTTAAATCACTCACCAGCAATTCCTCTTTCTACAAGTAAAGCTAGTATTGTTTTTCCTTCAAAATGGATATATCTGTTAACACTTACTATATGCCTAATATTAAGTAACTATTACATAGTAAACAATTTCATTATTTCATTTAATCCTTCGAATATCATTGTGAGTCAGGCTTTCCTATTACCCTATTTTTCAAGTACAACCAAAAGTTATGAATTATTAAGTAACTTGCCCAAGGTATTATTCTTCCCATTTTTACATTTGTGAAATCAAATCTTAAACATGTTAAAAATTTCATAAGTCTTTTTGTGAACTAAAAGTCATAATATCAAATCAAACCCACATAGTTCCAAGGTCCAAACTCTTTTCATTTGCACCTGTAGTCCCTACATGGCACCATCCTATTTCTGTGTCACTGTGCAAATTTAGGTTCCTGGTTTTATCTTAAAATATCTTGCTAAATAAATTTATTAAATATGATCATCTGAAACAGTTCCCATCCTTCAAGTAGAATTGAGGCCAATTAAACCTAGTCAGCTGGACTTTTACAGTGAGAGTTCATCAGTTCCAGCCACCATGGGAATTAAACACAGACCCTAAAACAGTGATTCTCAAAACATAGCAGACCAGGAAAAAACACTGCCTGGAAATCTGTGAAAGCCCCAGAATCAGAAACTGAGAATGGAGCTCTGAAATCTGTTTTAACAAGAACTTTTGATGATTATATGCATGCTAAAGTTTCAGAACATCTTGTCTAAAGACCAGCAGGACCAAGTTTTCAGGTTCCCTACCTTGGGTAGGGAAATATAATTTGTTTTGGATTACAGAGTATCTCTTCACTTTCCCAAGCACAGTAAATATATTCTTCTAGTCTCTAAAAACTTAATTTTAATTGAGATGACTTCCAAAATATGAAATCAAGATTTACCTTCAATAAAACTTATTAAACACGAACCAACTGCTTCAACTTTATACATTTGTGAATAGGCTAATATAAATGCCTAGGTTATCAGTAAGGCTAATTTTTAAATTCAGTGTAATTTAAAAGGTTTTATCATCTTCTAGTAAGTAACAGAATAAATAAGAATTCCTAGAGTTGCTTAAATTGCTTATCAGCAATTCCTCTCCCTAAAGGTAAATCATATATTCTTTCCAATCTCTCTAGCCAAGTCTGTTCAATTCATTTTCACAATTTTAAATTTAGCTAAGCTTATCCAAGAAAATGGATGATGATTTATTAAATTACCTGTATATATAACTTTTCCTTCTTGGCATTCAGAAAGAGGCCTTTTCCCACGTTTGTGTGCTTTTTCCCGAAATCTTACTGTTACCACCACATTCGGATTACCAGCACTGCAATTCATTTTAGAAAAAGATTTGGTTTCCACAAGGTTTCCAAACTTTTTGTTGACAAAATGGTGGACAGCTTTTCTGTGGTCTTTGTTTGTATCAGGTTTAAAGGTAAATTTGGAATTTTCTTTCTTTGCATCCAAATATTTAAAAAAGTCAAATGCTTCCTCTTCAGATACCAAATGACAAAGTTCTTTATATTCAAGATTTGGTTTTACAACAATTTCACTGTTTTTTCCTACAGTTACTAAAAATGGAAATTTCTGCCTAATGGCACTGTGTAAACTAGCCCTCTGGTTTTTGTCAAGGATTCTGCCTATTGAGAATTCAGGAGGTAGTCCAATTAGCTCTGTTTTAGAAAGCCACTTCTCTCTTACATCACAGGCAAAATTATTCAGTAACTCATGAGTTTTTTCATCCAAAAAGGAGCTTAAAACATCAGCTTTTTCTTCACATTTGGAAGTTCCATCAACGATAGTATCTTCCTTTTCTGAACCAGACTGATGATTTTGGTCACCATCAGTGTACTTAATCAAAGTATGAACTTCTTGGTTTCTTCCATCTTCTAAGGACAGATTTTGAAGATCTAGTTTTGGTTTTTTGGGAAAATTATTTGGCTCAAGTTGTATTTCACTAATCTTGAAAATAGGCTCATCGATGGTCTTATTAACTAACTGTCCCTGTTCATCAATTTCAATAACAATAAAGTCACTTGGTGAGCTTTTTATAGTGCCATGAAATCCAACGTGATCATTAAAGAAACACAAAGAACTAAACCTGATTCTATAATCTGTATCTTCTTCCATTCTTCTATAACAGTGCCTAGAAAACAAAACAAAGAGGTGGTTAGTTAACAGAAAGAGAAGTTATGGATGACCAAATAGGAATAGGTTTGCAGGATTTAGTTAATTCTGTCTCTCTTTTAATTCTGAGTCTTCTTAAATGGTATCATTAACTTAATTTATAACTATATGTACTTCCTGTGTACTTTGACTCTCCTATACCAAGCTGAATTAATAGGCAAACTATTTCTGGTATAGCTAAAGATTTGTTAACTTGTATCTTCACTCACTCCAGATTTGTACCTATTATCCAGGATTAAAATGAGTCAATTTTATCTTAAAAATATCATTTGTAGGCTCACAAGAAGAGGTGAGAACACAGGACTATAAAACAAAGATTTGTCCAAATTCCATTCCTGGAGCCTAAAATTTCCAGCTAATTCCAGAGAACATGTGGCTAAGTTTTCTTATATTATTAGTGGTTAGTGACAGGAGAGGTGACAAAAAGACAATAGGAAAACTGATGGGTAAATGAAGTTCTAAATACAAATTTGTGATTTGATTATATTTCAAGGTAGGATTAAGTCAGTCCTGGGCCTTCTCTAATGCCCCCATTAGGACAAATAGAAGCTTTCAAGGTTGAGCCAGAGGAAAGTTCTAACTATATCATTGGCATCAGACAGAAGAAACCCTTACAGAGCTTCCTGGAAACACTATGCAAGAGAATAGTACTCTGATCTCTCACTTTTCACACAAACCCATGGCTACCATACCATATGGAGCTGCAGGAAAGATAAATTGCCCAGGGGCCCCATACTAGTGAGTTCTGTGTTTCCCCCACATTCTCCAAGTAACTTATCATCATCTGGACCATCATCTCATACCTATAATGTATTCTACTAATCTGAACCAATTTAGCAAATCACACCTTCTCAATCCTTTCCATCATGCCATATAGAAATCACTACAAATTCTCCATATCCTAATTTCCTAAGGAATATATAAGATATACTTACTTTCCTTAATTACTTAATTTCCTGTACAGTTCCCTCACTTTCTTGCCCTAATTGAAATCTGGCTATTTCTTCAGGCTGCTTCTTCTTCAGTCCTCTCAAGTAAAGGCTATTTTTTCTTTCCCACCCATCTACCTTAGGACCTGGAGGCTGTAAATATTGGTCTATGTTTGTCACTGTTCGTTGCAAGCCATTTCTTCCTCTACTACCTCCAAAAACCCCAATTCTTTTGAAGAGCCTGCCATTGGGCTTTACCATCTGCTGTCATCCTCTCTCGGATCCCCAGACAACTCTGCTTCATTCACTGATCTCTGGCTCACTACCTTCTTATCCAACATGATTTTTATGATCATCTATATGGATCATCCATTCAATGTCTTGGACCCTCAAGTCCTCAATCTCAACCTCAACCTCACACCTCTACTTCATCTTGGTCATCCACTGTCACGGTCATAACTTTGACTTTCTCATCTCCAAAAACTGCATTAACCTTAAGCATCTGATTCTTATGACTCCCAATGTCCTTTATCACACCAACTTTAATACTTCCATTCCAAAAACTTTTAGATATTGTGAAGGTCCCTAACTCCTGCTTCTATAACTAGCCCACAAACCAGCCAGAATGGTCTTAAAAGGTAAATTAAATCATATCACAATCCAGTTTAAAACCCTCTAGTCACATTTGCAATAAAATCCAAATTACTCACCCTGGCTTCCAAGGACATCTAAGATTAGGGACCCTGCTTATTCTCCAAACTCATTTGTACCTTTACCCCATTACCCACTATACTCCAGCTACTCTGGCCTTCTTCAATAGTTTTGTGCTAACTGTTCCTGTTGTTTAAATTGTTCCCTCCCCAATCATATAGCTGCATCTTTTAGGATTCATTTCCTCAGAGAAGTTTTTCCTGACCAATAATCTACAGGAACCTGCAAGTGATTCTCTTTTTTTTTGAGACGAAGTCTCACTCTGTCGTCCAGGCTGGAGTGCAGTGGCATGATCTCGGCTCACTGCAACCTCCGCCTCCCGAGTTCGAGCGATTCTCCTACTTCAGCCTCCCGAGTAGCTGGGACCACAGGGGCGCGCCACCACGCCCGGCTAATTCTTGTATTTTTTTAGTAGAGATGGGGTTTCACCATATTGGCCAGGGTGGTCTTGAACTCCTGACCTCGTGATCCACCCGCCTCGGCCTCCCAAAGTGCTGGGGTTACAGGCGTGAGCCACCGTGCCCAGCAAGTGATTCTCTTTCACAAAACCCTATTTAATTTTCTGCATAGCAGTTCTAGGTAAAGTTTTTCTTTATTATTTATTGTATATCTCCTCCAAAGAGAATGTTAGTTCCACGTGAGGAGTAACCTTGTCTGCCTTATTTACTACTGATGATCACACATTTTGAACAGTGTCAAGCACATGGTAGGTCTGCAATAAATACTATTGTTAAATAAATGAAATAACTAGTACAAAATAAGAGCTGTAGGAATGAAGTGGAAGATAATTAGAAGAGGCATAATGCAAGAAGTGGCCATCTAAGTCCTCCATAGTTCAAGAGATAGAAATGAGGCAGAGACCTCACAAGTAATGTACAAACAAAACATGCAATGTGTGCAAGAAAAACAAGCAGTCCAGATACAGAGCAGTGGGGATGGGAATGCAGGGAGACTACAGTGCTGGAAAATGTAGCTGAGTTAGTACCAGATTATGGAAGATGTTGAATGCCCTGACAAGGACTTAGAATCTATTGGGTGGTCAATGGATGGCTACTGTTAGTGTTTGAGTAGAAAAGTGACACAATTCCAAAACATGCTTTTGGAATTGTAAGATGATTCTGATGGAAATGAGCAAGATGTATCCGATGGAGTAACAGTTAGAGGAGTTCAAAAACAAAACAGCATGGTCAAGAACATAGCTGTAGGGATTGGCCCTGAAAGAATAATGATCTTTTCTTTCTCCCAGAAAAAAGGAGGAAGACAGACATTCTAAGCAAGTGAAACAGGTAGGGAAACTTGGGGAGAATGTAATTCCAGCATCCTGGTAGAAGAGTGGAACTGACCTGGAGGACAGCAAAGGAGCCCACGTGGCGTTAAGCCTGAAGGTGCAGTATTCCCATTCAACAGAGACTGCTGCTGACAGTGGGCGGGGGAGTAGTTTGCTTGGCCCGTGGTTGAGGAATTCGTTGGCGGAGGAGGGATCCTGAGAAGGTACTAGAAATACTGAACCCAGTCCTGCAGAAGCTACTTAACTTCACAGAAAACTAGGGCGTCGTTGCCCTCCAGCACGTCCAAAGGTGTCCCCGACAAGGCCAGCAGCTCTACCTGTTTCTTCTCCCTCCTCTTACTCTGCCTGTCCAAAGGCACGACACTAGTCCACGTCACCTTTCTTTGGGCGCAAAGGGTATGGATCCTCAATGCCAACCTCGTCACCCCCCCCCCCCACACACACACACACACACACACATACAAGCCCACCATCGCGCAAGAAACTCGACCCCGTCTACCTCGGTTCAGTGGAAGGCATTCATTTGCACAACGCTGTGCGCATGCCCGGAAGCCTTAAGTGTTTCAGCCTCCGACAGGGGCGTAATTAAAGGGGCAGGCGCCCACGTAAAGACGCGCCCTACGCAATACGTGGAGTTTCTCACTTTGTGGAGCCGCCTGGAGGCGCCAAGATGAAGCCCATCGGGGAAGTGGGGCGGGGCCAACCCGGCAGGCCCCGCCCCTTCGCGGCGCTTCCTAGTTCGGCTGGTTCTTCTGTCGCCGGCTTCAGCAGCCCGCGCCCGGGCAGGTAAGGCATTCCCCGCCTTAATGCCTCGGTCAAACGTCGTCCGAGGTCCGCTTCCAGGCCTCGGCACCTCTGCCCCAGGGTTGCTGGGGTCGGCTGCGGAACGGAAATCTCTTTATCATCCGTGAGAAAAGTTAGAGAGGAAGTGGGTTCCTTTGACAGAGCTTACTCCAGAAGAAAGACTTGGGTAGGTCCCCGGTAATCAAGAAGTTCGTCGGCCCTGAGGAAGAGCCTGAGGCTTGGAGGGACGTCACCCAGCTGTTCTGGGGCGCAGTCGGACCTCAAGTTTCTCACCTCTCAGGCCCTGGATTCCGTGAACCCGACTGCGAAATGAAGTCTCTTTTCCCCAGAACCAGGAAGTCAGGCCAGCACCTGACAGATGCCTGTGGCGCCAGCAGCTCGCTGAGCCTCCACACGATTGTAATTCGCTTGTTTCTCCGGCCTCCAAGCTTCCAGGGAATTAGAAAGTGGAGGCGGCTTATGGGATCAGATGAGTACATTCGCAGATGGGGGAAAAAAGTGTACCTGTCAGCTTGGAAGCCAGAGGGAGACAAAGGGATAAAAGCAAACCCTGTCCAGGTGCGGTGGCTCATGCTTGTAATCCCAGCACTTTGGGAGGCCCAGGCGGGCGGATCGCTTGAGGTCAGGAGTTCGAGACCAGCCTGGCCAACATGGTGAAACCCCTGTCTCTACTAAGATACAAAATTTAGCTGGCATAGTGGCGGGCGCCCGTAATGCCAGCTACTCCGGGGGCTGAGGCAGGAGAATCGCTTGAACCCAGGAGGCAGAGGTTGCAGTGAGCCGAGATCGTGCCACTACACTCCAGCCTGGGCAACAGAGGGAGACTCCGTCTCAAAAGAAAAAAAAAAAAAAAAAAGCAAACCCTGAGAAAGCGAGAAAGCACTTTGAGCATTTAGAATGGGAACAAACGGCGCTATTAGTGCTTCAAAAACGTAACTGCCCAAGGCCCCTGGTAAGCAGAGGATACTAAAATCTGCCTTTTCCCTTTCTTGGAGTGGTCCTTGAAGAGGGCTATCGGGAAGTTCAAATTTCTTCTGTTTTCCTGCAGAGCGTTCATTTGAAGTTTGCTTTCTACCTCTCCAAACTGAGCTTCTGATATTCCAGGCCAAACTTGCTCCTTCCTCAGCCTTCTCTATCTCAGTAAATATCGGTAAACTTGGTTATGCTGTCTTCTCACTCTCCACATCAGCCCATAGCTTTCTATTGGCTCCACCTCAGAATCCTAGGACTTCTGCACTTGCTCTGCTACGACCCTGGTCCCAGCCTGCAGCACGTCCCACCTGGCTTATTGGTAGGCTCTCCTAAATGCTTCTTTCTTGCTTCTCTGTCCTTACTCCAACATCCTTTATTCCCAGCAGCCCCAGTATCCTTCTAAGACATGAGTACAGAGCATGTCTCTTTTCTCAAAACTTCCAGCATCTACATCTCACCCAGAGGATAAACAAAGTCAATACAAAAACTCTAAGGCCCTTGAAGACCTGGCCCCTTTACCTTTCTGACCTCATCTGCTACTTGCCTGTTCCCTCCTCTGCAGTCTCACCATGTCCTTGCTGTTGCCCAGTGGGCCCAGTTCCAACCTTTGCATTTACATTTCGTTTTGTCCACAAACTTTTCCCACAGATAGTCCAGTGGCTGGCTTTCTCCTTCTTTTTGACCTTTAATCAAATGGCACCTTCTTATTGAGGCTTCCTGTGACTACCATATTTATAATTACAACCTTTTCTCTATTTCGTTTTGTTCTTTCATTTCACTTGGCACCATCTAACATACTATAGAGTTTATTTATTTGCTTATTGCCTTCCTTCCTCCATTAGAATATAAACTCCATGAATTCAGGTTTTGGTTTTGTTTTGTTTTTTTTCTCTAATTTTCCTAATGCTTCATCTCCAGGGGCCTGGAGCAGTATCTAGCACAAAGTAGACACTCAGTAAATATTTGGTGAGTCAATGGTATTATATTTTGTTTTTTAAATATATGCAAAGCATTTTCAATTACTTACTGTTGTGTTGGATCAATGTTCAAGAAAGATATGTTAAGTTTAATTTATGGTACACCAGCACATATCCCAGTTTGTAATAGGCAGCCCTATCTAATTTAATAGCTCTGGAAGCCCTCACCAGCTTTTGTTCATAATGATGATGTTAAAGTATCTAAAAATAAAGATTAATGGTTATACAGCATATTTTGCTAAGAATATATGGAAGTAAATAGTGTATTTTAGAAAGGATATAAATACATTAAAATTACCATGGTTGATCAAATAAGACAGCCACCATCTCAAAAGCTTAGCTATTTTCTCAGACTTGTTATTTGTACGCTTTCAGTAGATCCTCACTACTGTTCTGGAAATTGAACCTAAATACAGTCTGCACATATCTTTAAAAATAATGTGATATAAGAATAATTTCTGCCAGGAAATAATAATTGCTCCTTTTTTTTTTTGACCACCTATTATTATGTGACAAGATTTGGCCCTTTGCATGTGTTGATTTTAATTCTTACAGCAATTCTTAGGTATTACTATCTCTGTTTTTCAGATAAAGAAAAGCAAGGTGCAGAGAAATGTATTTACTAGCTCTGGTCACAGTTGGCTTTGGTTAGAACTTAGGCCTGTGCAACCTCAAAGTTCATCTTCCCTCCACCCCTGCACAATCTTTTCCTCTGATCAAAGTGCTAATGAAGCAGTCTTAAAACTTTATTAACACATTTGACAAGAATCTTTTGCCCTCCTGTTTTGGGCACAGTACTTTGGGAAGGCATTGGATTCCATAAGCAGGTGCTTATTTTAATATATTTCTCAATCACCACCCCACCTTTTACACTTGTCTGAATTGTCTTACTTGAAAATATGAATGGGTTTTCTTTACTATGAGAGTTAGTGGTATGAGGAAACAGTCATGAAGGTATTTACTTATTTGTAAGCAACATATCCTGTTCCACCTGTGTTAATCCTAAGTGTACTAAAGTAAATCTTGAAGAATTTGAAAGAGATGACACTTTTTAAGTTTTTTTTTGCCCAGTCTGTTTTCATTATTGAAAATTCAGAAAAGCAAAATGAAAACAAAACTATCATAAAAGTCATCACCAAGGGATAACCACGTTAATATTTTGGCTTATGTTCTTGTAAGTATGTGGTTGGGAGTGGTATATGAATATACATTTAAAGTAAAATTTTAATTTCTGGGATTTTGAACTTCTGGGCACATGTGTGGAGGAGTTGCAGAAGGCCTTCTTTTTCCTAGTATCCCTACACTTATCACCTCTGCTGGAAGCCTGGGTGCAGGAGAGCTACCAAATTTATCCCTGGCCTTTAGATAGTCTGGGTTTTTTCCTCAATTCCTTGTATTTTGCTCTAATTTATAAGACTACTAAGCAGTTCTATCTTGTCTAGCTTTGTCAATCATGTTGTACCTTACAGTAGAGAGAAATCTTAGTAAGGAAAAATAACTTGAAGAGAGCAACTGCAGAGTCTATAGGCAACCTAGATACAATTTCTTAATTAAAGTTAAAAAGTCATCAGCCTTTCATTCAACACAAATGTTGTGAGTCGTTGCTGAGGTGAATTTGGTTGGGTCCTAGCTCAGGAGAGCACCCATCTAACAGAGAAAGCAAACACATAAACAGTAAAACATAATAATTATTATAACAGAAGAATGACTAGGTGACATTTTGGAGCAAAAGAGATGACAATCAGGGGAAGCTAACAGTGCCTTTTGAATTGGGCTTGAAGGAATAATAGGCATTTACCAGGTGGCCTTTAAGGTATGTGGGCTATTCTTTTACCTGGCCCTAGATGACTTCATTTCCTGTTTCACAGAAAAAATAACAGTATGTGGGAACTCTTCTCCCTTCAAATATATCTGTATTTAAACCTCTGCTTCCTTCTTTCTAGATTCAAAAGAGGTTTCTCTCTATTCAAGGCTGATTTCTTCACCCTATATGCTATTCATTATCCCATTTGTATTGCCAAACAGCTTAAGTCTTAAACCCTTAACACCAACAGTTCTCAAAAGTCTGGTTGGAGTCCCTAATGCTCTTTCAGGAGATTTGTAAGGTCAAAATCATGTTTAGTTAAAAGATTCATTCAGAGTGCAATGGATTTTAATGTTCCAAGTTAATTTATACAGCTTCAGATTCCTCATTGCAGCTTACCTTTAGGAAGTTATTTCTTGTCAAATTTTAGTGTAGTATCAAAGAGAAATATCTACTACTTTGTGAAAAGGCTATTAAAATACACCTTTCTTTATAACTATATGTCTGTGTGAAGCTGGATTTTCTTCATATACATCAACCAAAACAACATGCTGCAGTGGGTTGAGTGCAGAAGCAGATACAAGAATTCAGCTCTCTTCTATTAAGTTAAATATTGAAGAGATTAGCAAAACTTTAAAACAATGTTGTTCTTCTGTTTTTGAGGAAAAGGTAATTATTTTATTAAAATATATATGCTAACATCTATATTTATGATTATTTTAAATGAATTAATAAGTAATTTTTAAGTTTCTCAGCATCAATTTATTATGGTAAATATTGGTAGATATAACCAACATAAACAAAAGCCCTTTGGGGTCTACAATAGTTTTTAAGAGGGTAAAAGGTCCTGAGACCAAATTTGAAAACTGCTACTCTCTTGCATGCTCTCCTCCCTCTCTTTCCCTACCCCTCCACCCCCATTTTCCCTCCCCTCATACTCCTCTCTCTCTCTTTCTCCTTCCCTTCATAACCAGACTTCTTGGAAAATCTGTTTTTGCCATTCACTCACTTTTTCACTATAGCTGTTCCCAAGTCACCAATGGCCTTCTGATTTCAGAGTCTAACATATCCATCAGTGTCTATTTGACCTCTCTGAGTCTTTTATACCAACCTGCCACCTTTTCTAGAAGTCTCTGGTATGCTACCATCCTGGTTTTTTTCTTGCCTTCATGACTAAGCAGTATTTTTTAAAATTCTTCTTTCACATCATTCCTTTCCATTCTAAGCATTCCTAATAGGCAACCTCATTTTATTGTTGCTTCAACTGTATATGTGTATATGCTCTTAATTTGTATGAGGGCATTTCAAAAAGTTTGTGGAAAAATTGAATTAAAAGATAAAAAATGTAAACTTTGGCTCAGCACTATGGCTCATACCTGTAATCCCAGCACTTTGGGAGGCCGAGGTGGGCAGATCACCTGAGGTCAGGAGTTCAAGACCAGCCTGGTCAACATGGCGAAACCCCATCTCTACCAAAAATACAAGAATTAGCTGGGTGTGGTGGTGCACACCTGTAATCCCAGCTACTTGGGAGGCTGAGGCAGGAGAATCGCTTAAACCTGGGAGGCAGAGGTTGCAGTAAGCCAAAATTGCACCACTGCACTACAGCCTGGATGATAGAGCAAGACTCCAAAAACAAAAACAAAACTGTAAACTTTATTTCTGAACATAAGCCCATGAAGTTCAAGACACTTTTGTAAGCGATAACACCAGCCATTTGGGCCATCCCTAAAGAACTGAGAGTCCTGGGAATTTAACCACATCAATGAAGTCTTTTTTACATTATTAACTGAAGAAAAATGGGTGCTCTATGAAGATTTTTCAAGATTGGGAAACAAAAAGAAGTCAGAAGGAGACAAATCAGGACTGTAAGGTGGATGCCTAATGATTTCCAGTTGAAACTCACAGAATTGCCCTTGTTTGATGAGAGAAAAGAGCAGGGGCATTGTGATGGAGAAGGACTCTGTGGTGAAGCTTTCCCAGGTGTTTTTCTGCTAAACATTTGACTAAAGCTGTAACAGAAAAGCTTTAGTTTAGAAACACTTAGAAAAGCTACTGTTTCTCAAAACCCTCTCTAATAAGCAGATGTTACCATTCTTTTTCCCTCCAGAAAGTCAGCAAGCAAAATACCTTGAGCATCCCAAAAACCTGCAGCCATGCCCTTGCTTTTGACTGTCTGCTTTTGCTTTAATTGGACCACTGCCACTTTGGGGGAGCCATTGCTTTGATTGTGCTTTAGGATCATACTCGTAAAGTCATGTTTCATCTCCTGTTACAATTTTTTGAGGAAATGGTTTAGGATCTTCATCCCACTTGTTTAAAGTTTCCATTGAAAGCTCTGCTCGCATCTGCAGCTGATCTGGGTACAACAGTTTGGGCAGCCATCAAGTGGAAAGTTTGCTCAACTTTAATTTTCAGTCAGAATTGTATAGGCTGAACTAGTTGTCTATGGTGTTCACTGTTGGTTCTGCTGTTAATTATAGGTACTCTTCATTTAGGGCACAAACGAGATGAATGTTTTCCTCGAAAATCGATGTGGATGGTCTGCCGCAGCAGGCTTCATCTTCAACATCATCTCATCCCTTAAAATGAGTTACTGATTTGTACACTGCTGATTTTCTGGGGGCATTGTCCCCATAAATAAAGCATCAGTGATTTCACCATTCTTCCAACCAACCTCCACCATAAATGTGGTGTTTGTTCTTGCTTTAGTTTTAGCAGAATTCATGTTGCTGTGGTAGAGGTTCTTTTCAAACTGTCTTATTCTTCTCAGTGTCTCAACTAGATCCTGTTTAGACATGAATGATAAGTTAGTATGAGTTTATTTTGGAAATACATTTTGCAAAAAAAAAAAAATTGAAATCCATGCATGGTTTTTGCACGATATGCATTTTCCATGAACTCTTTGAAAACCCCTTATATATGAGAATACTTACATAATGAGCATTCTTTGCTGAAACCTCTCTCCTAAGCTCCAGACCACATATATAAGTACTTGGTATGAAGGCTCCTAGATAGTGCCAAAGGTAGATATTTCACATTTAACATGAGCCAAAAAAAAAAAAAAAACTTCATTCTATCTCCCTTTCTTCTAATCGCTCATCTCTAGTGAAATTGTTTTGATTTGGCCTCCTAAATGTTTTGACGTTTTACCTCTCCATTCCCCTACCCTATACTTTTTCCAAGCTCTCCTTTCTGCTCACCTGGATTATTGCAGAAGTTTTCAAACTAATTTTCTTGCCTCAATATACATCCCTTTGATTTTTATCCAGAGGAATCCACTTAACCATATAAGATTATTTAACATCCCTCCTAAAAATCCTAAAGTGGCTCTCCTGTAACTTTTAGTTTATAAGTTCAAACTCTTTGTCTTAGCACATGAGGTACATGATGATCTGGCCCTGCTACCTTTCCACCCTCATCTCTTCTCACTTAATCACAGGCATCCTGTGGTCCAGCCATAGCAAGCTCTTTGCCTGAGACACACATGCTCTTACCTTTTCCCATGCTATTCCCTCTGCCTGGAATTTTCTTTTGGGCTTATCCTCATTCCCTTTCATTCATCCTTCCAACCTCCTACTCCAACCAAATCTGTCTTGATATCCCTATTCCAGACTGCCTCTGCTTGATGCCCCTTTTCTGGGCCCCATAACATTCTTGCAGCATTTATCACTCCCTGTCACTGTTTGTATCCCCTGGTATACTGAACAGCTTGGAAACAAAGATTTTCTCTTCTCTGTGCTCCCACTTGTTAGTACAAAGACTGACATAAATATTTTCTGAATGTATTCATGAATGAAAGGAAAGGAATGGTCTTTCTGAAATAGAGAATGGCATGAACAATGCATTGTGTTATAAAAGCAGAGTTGTATGGCATGACTTTTGGAGTCAGACATAATTGTAAGTCCTGGATCTCTCACTTACCACCTTTGTAAAATAGAGATGATAAAACTGTACTGGGAAATAATTTAGTTGTTCCAAAAGTAAATACTGAACAATACCATTATCTACAGTATGCAAGTCACTAGGTGTATATTCATGAATAAAATTAGCATGGTCCTGAACTCATGGATCTTAAAATCGAATATGGGAGACAGTAAACAGGTAAACAAATAAGTATATGATTACAAATACATTGTGCAGTGATGAAAGATAATTAGGTGAAGGGCAGCTAGACCTATTTAGATGTGGTCAAAGAAGTCCAAAGAGAAGAAGTGAATACTAACATAGAAGCCTCTGATACAGAGAAGCTTTTCGCTTTTTACTCTTTTTGATAGTTTTAGAATGTTGTTCCATATGAACACATTATTTACTCTAAAATTGTATTTTTAAAATATATATAGGGAAGCAAAAATAATTGACAGAAGAATATCTGAGTCTATTTGTCTTAATTGGAAGGAAAGATCATTTCCTATTGAGAATGAGGGACACGCAGAACAAATAAAATCCACATAGAAAGAAGTAAAGGTATGAAATAGTCACTAAGGACTATGAGAGAAGACAAGTGGAAGGATTAACGGCAGTGTTGAAGGCCCTGTGGAAAGGGGGTTACCATAAATTTGTATTCACATCAGCAACCCTGGTGTACAAGTAAAGTTGTTAGATTTATCCCTGGCTGCAGCTCTCCAGGATGGAGTAGCAGAAGTAAAGGGGGATTGCAGAAATAAAGATTCTGTCTAGAGAGTAGTTGAAGTGGTGAAGCACAGGTTTTGGCGTAGTAGCAAATGAATTGTGGTCAGGCAGATCTCATGGACTCAAAAAATGTGCAGAGGTCAAGGAAGAGCAAAGTATGTGAAAAGTGGGTGGGTGGACCATATCTGTTAATGCTACACAAATCATTTCAGTACGTTTTTTTTTTTTACTTCTACCAAAGAATGTTGCATAAATTTTAATTGTAAATAAGTACTAATTGAGAAACATAAATTGAAAGGTAAATGTTTTTATTAATAGATTTGATTTCTGAATATGCTAATTCTGATAGTTTGTTGATATTACTCTTAAGAATTTTTCTGGTAAGTTTTTTGCCCCTTTCTATAAATTTTACTAGGAAAATATCAGTGTCAGAAAAAAGTCCTCCGATTTTTATTGCTATTAATGGGTGGAAAAAGGAAGCAAACCCAGAGGATAATTGGACAAATGAATTACAATTTTAATTTCATCTTAGGATATCAATGACTTGACTTTGGAATGTTTCTTTATTATGGTATAATCAGTTGCTGACATTTCATATGATATAGCAAAGTGTGATATATAAGCTTACAGATGTCATCTCTAAAAGTACTGTAAAATTTTAATGAGATTTTTCCATATTTTAGGAATAGAAGATGAACAAACCCATAACACCATCAACATATGTGCGCTGCCTCAATGTTGGACTAATTAGGAAGCTGTCAGATTTTATTGATCCTCAAGAAGGATGGAAGAAGTTAGCTGTAGCTATTAAAAAACCATCTGGTGATGATAGATACAATCAGTTTCACATAAGGTAACAGATAAAATTCTTTGTATTTTTAAATTCTTACATCACAATATGGAATGATTAATTGGTATAAGTACTGTCTAATGTGGCAGTTTAGAAAGTAAACCTCTCCACTATGGAGGAGACATTGGTAGTAGGTAACCTCTTTTTGATTGTTCCTTTTGCAGTTTTGTCTTCTTTGTCCCATATGTCAATAGGGCTAATACTGTGATCTCTCAAATAAGTTTTTTGGGTTAGAATCAAGATTCCCACCTTTGCTGTGGTTCCCTGTTTGGCAAGCCAAGTGAAGTTCACTCTGCCTCACACTTCTCATTTCCAGATTGAAGGAAAATAAGAATGTTACAAGAATGTCTGGTAAAAATCTAGAGCTTAAATTTCAAAGTGTGTGAATCTCTAACACACTCTAACAATGTATTTTGGGACTTTTTCAATTTGACGTTTTAAAGTTGTTGCTTACAAGTGTACACTTCTGTGCACAGAATTCTTAAATCTTAGCTAGGATTTCTCAGTGCTGTCTTCAGATAATTTCAATTTTTCCTTTTTACTCATCTCTGCTCAATTTAGTGTAAAATATGCATGCATATTTTATTTTTGTCAGTCATTGCAGTTAAAACCTATGTCAAAATGTTTCTTTGGTAGCAAAAGGAAAAGAAGACTATTTGTTATTTTCAGCATTAATCTGGGAAAGAACCTAAAAGACTTGGCTCCCTTGCAGGAAATATTTCCTCATAAGAAGAGCGAACATGTTAAATTACTTGAAAGAAGCTTAAGTTTAAACTGTGTTAAGCCAATGTTTAAAGATAATTTTTTGATATTACTGTTAAAAACTTATGGAAGATAATTGGGGCAGTGGTGGCAGGAAGATAAAGCTCTTCTCTTTTTTTTTTCTTTTTTCCAAGACTCATTCCTGTGACAGAAAAAGCTTTTCTTTACAGAATAATACCTGCAAATAATTGTGAAAAGAATGGTAGAATGAGAAAAATACCTATTTGCAACCACCAATGAGTAACTGATTCATGCAAGGCTCATCACTGAACCTAAAAGCATAAGGTGAAAGGTGGTTGTTCTCGTGCATGTGAGCAGGATATGCACAAGATTTTAAAGTATTATAGGCTGAGCACAGTGGCTCATGCCTGTAATCCTAACACTTGTGGAGACCGAGGTGGGCAGATTGCTTGAGCCCAGGAGTTCAAGACCAGCCTGGACAACATGGTAAAACCCCATCACTACAAAAAATTAGCTGGGTGTGGTAGTGCACGCCTGTAGTCCCAGCTACTTGGGAGGTTGAGGTGGGAGGATCACCTGAGCCCAGGAAGTCAAGGCTGCAGTGAGCCATGATCATGCCACTGCACTCCAGCCTGAGTGACAGAGCAAGACCCCCTCAATAGATAGAGAAAAAGTATTGTACACAAATTACTTGTGAAGTATGAAAGAGAAGGGTACATTTTTAATGAGGAAATCTGAAGTACACTTCCTTCACCAAGTGATCAAACTTTAGCACCAATAATAATGGTACAAAATGCTAATATGTACCCCTGGATGTGATACAATGGGAAAGGCACATTATACCTATGTAGTATTTCTACCAAAATGCTTAATCTGAATTTAATCATGAGAAAGTAGTCAGATAAATCTAGGCTGTTAGACCCATTCTATAAGACATCTGGCCCGTATTCTAAAACACACACACCCACAGACACAGATTGAAAGAGAGAATGCACAAGAGCCCAGATATGGCACAATTTTATCAATTATTCAATTGGTGAATCTAGGTGAATGGTTGTTCATTCTATCATTTTTTCAACTTTTCTGTAAGTTTGAAATTTTTAAAAATAAAATCTTTAGAGGAAAAACAGAAAGAAACAATATTGGTTAAATTTTTAAATGTTACTTTTCAAAACTAATTTTTGATTTTAAAGAAATGGAAAGAAATGGGTTGAAAGCCGACTTTGTGATTTTTTTCAATTTAATTGAATTACAGTTAAGATCAAAGGAATAATTTCCTAAGTTTTTGTGTGTTCTGTTTCTTTAATTAAGCAGGTGCATTTATTAAAAATTATATAGCTATCAGAGTCTTAAGTCATGTGGGAAGTAATATTGCTAGTAGATTAAGAATACACTCTTTTGTCAAATGAGATCTGAATTTGTACCTCAACTTGGATACATCATATTGGCTGTGTGGCTATGGGCTGGTTACTCTACCTCTCCAAGCCTGGCTTTTTCACTAGTAAATTCATATGATAATCATAATATCTTTGAACATGCTCATGTGTGTGCATCCTATAACCCACTAAGTAAATATCCAGTAAGTACCCAGTAAATTATTATCATCATCTTTGGCATCTTTTTTCCTCCTATCTTTCCTGTCTCTCTGTAATTCTTGCTGGTTCTCTTGTTGTCCCTTTTCTTTAATGTTGTAGGAGATGCTGTGGGCAAAATGGGCAGGGGAGATCAACACCTATTTTCATATGACCTCAGTTTATAAATGCTATTGTTTGAATGTGTCCCCAAAAGTTCATGTGTTAGAAACTTAATACCCATTGCAACAGGGTTGATAGGTGGGACCTTTAAAGGGTAGTTAGGCCATGAGAGCTTTGCCCTTATGAGTGGATTAATGTCGTCATGGCAGGAGTGGGTTAGTTATCTAGGGAGTGGGTTTCTGATAAAAGGATAAGTTAGGCCCTATTTTTCTTTTTCTCTCTCTCTCTTTTTTTTTCTCTTTCACATGCACGTGTGCATGCTCTTTTGCCCTTCTGCCCTTCCACCATGAGATGATGTAGCAAGAAGGCCCTAACCAGATGCAGCCTCTCGATCTTGGACTTCCCAGCCTCCAGAACCGTGAGCCAAATTAACTATTATTTATAAATTACCCTGTCTGTGGTATTCTATTATTGCAGCACAAAATGGACTAAGACAATAGACTAATTTTGTTTCTTTGTTACTTACTTTTAAGGAGATTTGAAGCATTACTTCAAACTGGAAAAAGTCCCACTTCTGAATTACTGTTTGACTGGGGCACCACAAATTGCACAGTTGGTGATCTTGTGGATCTTTTGATCCAAAATGAATTTTTTGCTCCTGCGAGTCTTTTGCTCCCAGGTAAACTGATTGTGACCAGGGTGTCCACAATTAGGGTGGAAAGACAAATGGCAGAAATATAAATGTTTCTTCTTACTCTTCCTTTTTTCTCATAGTAGATGAAGCTTACATTTGAGAGTCCCTTTCTTTCAGCACTCCTCAACTCTTTAAAAAGCAGCACAGACAAAGGACACTGTGGACTCTGCTGCTAAGGTGATAGAAGCTTCGTAAGAGTTAGATAGTTTTGTGCCAACAGGAAGTTTAGAAGGAAAGACTTCATACTTCTGGCTTAGGCTGTAAGAAAGTAATTATAATTTTGAGTTCTTCCTTTTTTTCATCTTCAACTTCTACCCTGATGGGACTCTATAATCATAATTTTAAAAAATTGTATTCTGATGTGGTAGTGTCTAGTTGCCTTCCTTATAAGCTTTCTTTTTTTCCTTTGATGCCTTTCACACCAGTGGTTCTCAACCTTTATCATGCATAAGAATCACTTAGGTTCTGGTTAAACATGTAGTTTCCTAGGGTCTGTTCCAAATCTATGTAATCAGAATTCTGGAATTGGGTTTAAGGTCTATATTCTTAAACAGGTGCTTCAGTGCCTCTGATATAGGTGGCTCATGGATCACTGTTTGAAAACACTGCCTTACTCTCTTTACCCATCTTCATTATAACTTACAGATTCTTACTAGGCAGCTTCTTGTGTGTGCTGTGAGAATATGAGACCAACCTGTAGAAACTGGAATGATATTAAATGAACCAAGTTTCTAGTTTAACTTTTTCACAACCACTTTTTCTTACTGAAAAACCACTTGTATCTTACTTCATTTGTTAGATGCTGTTCCCAAAACTGCTAATACACTACCTTCTAAAGAAGCTATAACAGTTCAGCAAAAACAGATGCCTTTCTGTGACAAAGACAGGACATTGATGACACCTGTGCAGAATCTTGAACAAAGCTATATGCCACCTGACTCCTCAAGTCCAGAAAATAAAAGTTTAGAAGTTAGTGATACACGTAAGTAACATTTTCAGTGCTTTCCACTAGGGATTTGTCATTAAGACTACCAGTGCTTTAAAAGAAAGCTCTTGCTCTTTTGTTTGTGCAGCAATCACAGGCACACTGGCAATAGCTCTTTTGTGAGTTGTTTCCTCCTGATATATTAAGAACCATCTTCATTGTATTAATCAGTGATTAGAGGCAATAGGACATGCAAACAACCAGAGAAGCTATGAAAAAAAATAAGTAAATATTTACATAACTTGGAAAGGTCACTTTTTAAAATAAAATATGTGACTAGAGTTTTGGGTAGGTAGACTAGACCCACTCAAATGTGTGACTAGAATTTTGGGTGGGTGACTACAGTGTTCAGAGGGTAGGATCACCAAACAGAGTTCTCAAGAAAAACTTATAATTTGTATTTTAGAAATGGTTTTATCTTCTCTCATCTTGTCTAATTCAAAATCATAAATATTTGCATATATGTGAAATCTTCAAATGAGAAAATATTATAATTATTAAAACGAATTTTTAAAATTTAAGCATGTTTTTCTTATTTTGACATAGGTTTTCACAGTTTTTCATTTTATGAATTGAAGAATGTCACAAATAACTTTGATGAACGACCCATTTCTGTTGGTGGTAATAAAATGGGAGAGGGAGGATTTGGAGTTGTATATAAAGGCTACGTAAATAACACAACTGTGGCAGTGAAGAAGCTTGCAGCAGTAAGTTATATTTTCAGGAATAAAAAGAAAGAGTTGCTTCATAGTGTGCCCTATAATAGGTTTTAAAGTTAATCTTTAGGAAATACATTATTTCAGTATGTATTTTCTTTAAATAAACATCATTCTAAATAGTAGTTCTTAAAATTTTAAAATCTGTTGAACACTATGGACCCTACCCCTAGAAAAATGTGGTTATGTCCATGTACACAAGATCATACATACAATTTTGGGAGATTCACAAACTAAAGTTGAGAAGCCCTGCTCCACATAGTGCTTCATGTGTAATCAAGATTAAAATGGTAAGATACCAGGAAAACTATTTTTAAAAAACCTTGTTTGCATTACTTTTCCCATTTAAAAATAAAATTTAGGAAGTATACATTAAGAAAAAACATTAAAATTTTTTTTATCTGTGTCCTTTGTTGCCATTTCTACTGAGGTGTTTACCTTTTACTTACTTGTTATATTCTAAATCTTTTGTTAGAGCCTAAAAATATCAATAGAATGCATATGTATGTGATAAAGATAGTCACTCTTTGTCATATATGTTGCAGGGCTTTTGTAGGGTTTTTTTTTCCATTTTGCACCTAAATTGCTTATGTTTTCTGTTTCCTAGAATTTTTTTCAAATTTTTTTGTGTAGTGAAATTTCGTGTTATTTCATTTTGTTTCCACAACTCAGTGAAATTTATATATATTTTTCATTCCACTAACCAGCCATGGGCCTTGAGCAAATCACTAGTATTTCTAGATCTCAGTTATTCTGTAGAATTGGGAGAATAATACACTATTGTTTTAAAGAAAGGGAGATGAGCCAGCTGATCTCTTGATCCCTCTGAGCATTAGGAACCTTAGAATTGTGTAGTATTACATTGTATATTTTATTTTTTCAGATGGTTGACATTACTACTGAAGAACTGAAACAGCAGTTTGATCAAGAAATAAAAGTAATGGCAAAGTAAGTCTTAATCTGGCAGTGCGGTGTAGTGGAAAGAAAAAAGACAAGGAGTAAAGAACCTGGTTCACTCTAGAGTATGCCATGAACTAGTGATGTTTGCACATATATGAAATTAAAATAAAGTGTTTAGATTAGAGAAATTGAAAGTACTTTTGGCTCCATAATTCTATGATTACATATACTCATATGCCTGGAGATTAAATAGCAGTCATTTTTATTTATTTATTTTTTTTGAGACAGAGTCTCGCTCTTTTGCCCAAGCTGGAGTGCAGTGGCATGATCTCGGCTCACTGCAACCTCTGCCTCCCAGGTTCAAGCGATTCTCCTGCCTCAGCCTCCCGAGTAGCTGGACCTACAGGCGTGTGCCACCATGCCTGGCTAATTTTTTTCTGTATTTTTAGTAGAGACGGGGTTTCACCGTGTTAGCCAGGATAGTCTCGATCTCCTGACCTTGTGATCCACCTGCCTCAGCCTCCCAAAGAGCTGGGATTACAGGCGTGACCACGCCTGGCCGCAGTCATTATTTTAAGTCACAACAAAGTTACGTGAAATTTCACTATCATGTCCTTCATTATCATGTTTTCCACTTCCAGAATTCATGAGAGATCAATTGTAGAGATACTTAAAAACAACTATCTATAGAGTAATAGGCCCTTATATATAAAGTAGCATCTATAGAGCAACTAGAGTCATGTTATCTGTAAGGATGCTTAGAAGGCATTGATCCTGTGTGCTGGAAAATTGTTGGACATCATCAGGAAAAGTAGGAGGGACAAAGTAGGAAATGTATTCTAATTATTATAGTGATTAATAGTGATTGATATTTGAGTGTGTGCAACATGCCAGACATTGTGCTATGTACTTTATGTGCATTGTCTGTCTAACCCTTACAACTGTTACAACTGCCCATTTTGTTTGTTAACTGAGATTTAGAAACATTAAATAGCTTGTCCAAGATCACATAGCCAGTAAGTGTTAGAGATGGGATTGAAATCCAGATCTGTTTGATTGCGGAGCCTGAACTTTAGATCTGAATCGTAATGGGATTTACCAAATTATACCCATTAAACCCACTGCTGTAAATCACCAATCATAGTTACCTAACCTCAAGTAAGAAGAATAGACTAGAATTGATTTATGCACGGTAAAAATGATACATGCTGAAAAAAGATCAAACTTTTTTTTTCAGGATTTGTCTTCTTCACTCCTACCCCTACTCTCCAATTCTAAAAGTAACTTGTTCACAGTAGGTCATCTGGAAAATACAGGAAAACATTTTTAAAATATACAAGCCTATATGCATGCAGGACTTAATACGTAGGTGATGGGTTGATAGGTGCAGCAAACCACTATGGTACACGTTTACCTGTATGACAAACCTGCACATTCTGTACATGTATCCCGGAACTTAATAATACAAACCATCTCTCAAATATATCACTCAGAGATAACCACTGCTAATATTTTTATATACTTGCTTCATGATGTGTGTGTAGCATTTTCCCATGTCACTAAAAATAATTTGAAAACATTTTAAATTATTGTACAACAGTCTAGCATATGTGAAAATCATATTTTATTTAACCATAGCTAGGTTTGTTTCTAATTTTCAGTATTAAAAATAAAGCTTCTTTAAAGTTCTTTGCACATAAATCTTTAAATGCAGTTATACTTACTTTATCATCTAGGGTAAAGTCCTAGAAAAAGAATTACTAGGTAGGAATGCATGAACTTTTTAAAGACTTTCTAAATACACATTCAAATGGCTTTTGAGATAAGTTACTACCAGCAATGTATTACAATTTCAAACTTTACTGGTTCCTTACCTTCATTTAATATCATTACTTTTTTTTTTTTTTTTTTTTTTTTTGAGACGGAATCTCGCTCTGTTGCCCAGGCTGGAATGCAGTGGTGCGATCTTGGCTCACTGCAAGCTCCGCCTCCCAGGTTCACGCCATTCTCCCGCCTCAGCCTCCAGAGTAGCTGGGACTACAGGCGACCGTCACCATGCCCGGCTAATTTTGTTTTTGTATTTTTAGTAGAGACGGGGTTTCACCACGTTAGCCAGGATGGTTTAGATCTGACGTCGTGATCTGCCTGCCTCGGCTGGGAATACAGGCGTGAGTCACTGCGCCCGGCCTATTATTACAATTTTTTAATAAGTGCCAGTCTCTGGATCTTACTAGCAGAATGAACTTGGCCAAGTTTTTTAACTTTCTATTCGTTAATTTTCTCATCTATAAAATGGGACAATAGTACTTACTTAAGTTATTGTGAGGATTAAATAAAACAGATAAATCACTTGCCACACTGCCTCGTTTATAGTATAAATTCAGCAAACGTTAACTACTCATGTTTAAAATGTGCCAGTTTGGTGGAAAATGGGACACTTACTGTTTTAATTTGCACTTCTTCAAATATTTATGAGACTAGAAGAAATTGATATAATGAACTGCTAGAATTGTGGATCATTTTGAATGAACAAAATGAATAAGCACTTAAATAATAAAACACTTATCATGTGCCAGATACGTTTCTAGGCTGTCATGTTTACATTTGCTCATTTAATTGTCTCAGCATCCATATTACATACTGTTTTCTGCATTTAGCAGATAAAGGAGCTGAGGCTCAGTAAGGCTGTTAACTTGCGGTAGGTCACATATCCAGGAGGGGGCAGAACTAGACTTTAAATTTAGGATGTATAACTCTGAGCCCTGTTTTCTTTCGTCTTACCACAGATGCTGCCACTTTATTAGATTGTAGGTCTCTTTAGTTTTATTACTCTCAAGTATATAAAGACACTCAAATTAGGTTATAAATAATCCAGTGTGATTAAAGATCAAAAACATGTAAATTAGATGTGATTCAAGATCATGTCTGTAAATCAGTGCTTTGAGTGTGTTAGAAAATTCTTGACAGTATTAGCATAAAAATTCAACGGACTTCTTGAAATCTTATTTGTGCCATCATTGAAAATTGGGCTAAAGAAAGTGAGCATCAGCCTAGTCCTTAACCAAACTTATCACAAGTTCCAAAAATCTGAATTATTTAGCTTTTACTGTAAAATAGAAAGAGGTTTGGCCAGCTGTAGTGGCTCACACCTGTAATCCCAATACTTTGGGAGGCCAAAGTGGTAGGAGCACTTGAGGCCAGCAGTTTGAGACCAGTCTGGGAAACACAGTGAGACCTCATCTTTACAAAAAAATTTAAAAAGTAGCTGAGTGTGGTGTACACCAGTAGTCCAAGCTACTTGGGAGGATGAGTTAGGAGGATCACTTGAGTCCAGATGGTCGAGGCCGCAGTGAGCTATGATTACACCACTGCACTCCAGCCTGGGCAACAGAGTTAGACCCTGTCTCAAAAAAAAGAAAAAGAGGTTTTACTTCTAATGTTGATTAATACTGGCTGAAAAGAGAAGTATTTGCAGAAAATTATAAACAGTTACAATAAACATATATAAACATAAACATCAAGTTAGAAATAATATATAACATACTATTTTTTTGCTCTTTTTTTCTATTAAAACTTTGAATAACTTCCAACCTATAGCTGAATATATATTTATTATAATAATTTTGCATGAAAAATTATTTGTCACAGGTGTCAACATGAAAACTTAGTAGAACTACTTGGTTTCTCAAGTGATGGAGATGACCTCTGCTTAGTATATGTTTACATGCCTAATGGTTCATTGCTAGACAGACTCTCTTGCTTGGTAAGCTATTTGTTCATCAGATTGTTTGGCTTTTTGTTTATATGCTGGAATATTAATATTCATTTTGTTACTGGATTATTTAAACCAAATTCACTTTCATATTTTTCCTGCTCTATGAAAATTATACAGTTGATATGTCAACAAATTATACAGTTGATATGTCAACAACTGGGTTGCCATTTTATTAGGTGGTAATCTTAAATGTAGAATTCAGTTAAGACTATACTAGGAAGATGCTTTTATATATTTTTATCTTCAAATAACAAATGTAAACACCCATTTGAGCTTATTTAGATATTATTTTTAATAACTTAAAAATGTAGTCCTAAATTATTAATGCTATAACATCATCTTCAGTTGTTGCCTAGAAAAATATTCTGTGTTATATATTCTCTGTAGATTTTTTATTATTCTTTCTCATTTTTAATTTGGTTTATTTCTTTATAAGGATGGTACTCCACCACTTTCTTGGCACATGAGATGCAAGATTGCTCAGGGTGCAGCTAATGGCATCAATTTTCTACATGAAAATCATCATATTCATAGAGATATTAAAAGGTAAATGCTACTGTTTAAAAGTTTTTGGAAAGCTGTCTTTAAAGAATAATTTGCTGTCACTCTATTCACGATTCATATGCAGGTCTTAACCTAGAGCATCTGGACTTTTTTCCCATCACTCCATGAAAGCTCTTCTCAATAAGGACATCTATAATCTCCTTTATTCCAAGCCCAGTGACCTACTTCCAGTACTCATCCTACTTGACCTTTTTTGTTTGTTTTAATAGTAGTTTATTCTGTTCTTCTTGACACTTTTGCCTTATGGAAATTAGTTGTTTTCTTAGTTTATGGATCACTATTCTTTTCTGAATCACCTTCATCCTCCATGAGTACTTTTCAGTTCTCTTTCTTTCTTGTGTATTTATCTAGTTAAATATTTACCTACTATAAGTAACATATTCATATATAGAGCTCAACATCAATCAAATAAGCACAAAATAATTATAGAATGTTAATATGTACAGTTCACATATATATTATATGTATTATTATTATATAGTATAGTACATAGGATTAATATAAAGAAGGGTTTCCAAGAAAGTGACATTTAAGCAGAGATTCAAAGAATGGGCAGGAAATAAGTAGACACAATTTGAGGGTAACTGTAGAATGGATGATGGGGAGAAGAACATTCTAGGCAGAAGGAACTGCATTTGTAAGACCAGTGGTGAGACAGAATATGGGAGCATGATGAGTTACAAGAAATGAAATATGCTTTGGGAGCCAAGATAGGAGGATCATTTGAGGCCAGGAGTAGCAGACCTGACTATGTTCCCTGAACAACATAGCAAGACCTCATCTCTACAAAAAAACTAGTCAAACGTGGTATTGCATGCCTACAGTTCCAGACACTAGGGCAGCTGAGGAGGGAGGAGGCTTGAGCCCAGGAGTTCAAGGTTGAAGTGAGCTATGATCGTGCCAGTGCTCCCCAGCCTGGGTAATAAAGTAAGACTCTGTCTAAAAAAAAATGAAGTAAATGCAGTATGACTGAGATGCAGAAAGTTATAGGGTGGTGGATTGGAGATAAAACTACAGAGAAGTGTAGGAAGCTAAGTCCTATAGGACTTAATAGATCAAGGTAAGGCTTTTAGTTTTATCACAAGTGTAATGAGATGCCGTTGAAAATTTTAAGTAGGAATATGGCATCATATTTAAGTTTTGCAAAGATGATTTTAACTCTAGTGTAGAGAACAGTTTGTAAGAAGAGGCAGTTAGTAGGCTATCATAGGTGGCAGTTCATAAGAAGAGAGGGGAGCAGATTAGAAAGATTAAAATGGCAAAACTTGTTGATACCTTGGCTATGCAGGGGTTCAGGAAGAGCGAAGTATCAGGAATGACTCCTGGAATAATGGCATCCAGACTTGCATTCTGGAATGATTATGGCATGATTCACTTATGTAGAAAGGACTGAAAAAAGACTTGGTTAGGTTGGGGTTAGAGAGATGGTTAGAAAATGTGAATTCTCTTTTGTACATGTTGTGTTTGGGGTGCTTTTAAGATGTAGTAGTAGAGATGGTAGACAGTGTGATATACAGATTTGGAGCTGGAGGTCTGAGCTGAAGATATAAATGTGTATTACTTGCATACAGGTGATAATTGAAGTGACTGTATTCACTTGAGGGGAGATGTAGATTAAGAAAAGGTCACAAGATTAAGTCTTGGGGAACCCTAAGACTTAATGGCCAAATAGAAGAGATGATCACAAAAAGGAATCTAAGGAAGTACACATACAGAGAAGGGTAAGATGAAAACCTGGAGAGTGTGGAGTCCCTGAAAACGAGGAAAGAAAGTGTTTCCCAAGAGGGAGTAGTCAAAAAGAGTCAAGGGCTTTAATCATTGGATTAGCATCACCATGGTCTTTGGTGACTTTATGGAAACCCATTTCCAGGTAGTAGTTGGTTTAGAAATCACATTGTAGTTGAGAGAGTGAGAGCTAGAGAACTGAGATAGGAGTATAGACAAGTCTTTTAAGACATTTTACTAGTGAAGGGGACAGCTAGAAATAGATAAGTCATTCAGGAAACTTTTTTTAAGCTGGCAGAGATTAAGCTGTGCTTATGTGCCTATAGGAAGGATCCAGATTAAAAGGGAGAGGATAGTATGGAAGAGAGAAATGAGATGATGTGTTCAGTAGGGTTACTGAGAATGTAGAAAGCAGCTCAAGCAGAGGAACTGACCCTAGATGAGAAAAGAAACGCCATCTCCTATCCTTCATGGATTGGTACTTTCTTGTGTTCTTATATCATTGTCTCTTTTCTCCCTGTATGTTCTTTTTTTTTTTTTTTTTGAGACAAGTTTCACTCTTGTTGCCCAGGCTGGAGTGCGATGGCGCGGTCTTGGCTCACTGCAACCGTCGCCTCCCGGGTTCAAGAGATTCTCGAGCCTCAGCCTCCTGAGTAGCTTGGATTACAGGCATCCACCACCACGCTCTGCTAATTTTGTATTTTTAGTAGAGATGGGGTTTCTCCATGTTGATCAGGTTGGTCTTGAACTCCCGACCTCAGGTGATCCGCCCGCCTTGGCCTCCCAAAGTGCTGGGATTACAGGCATTAGCCACCCGCCTGGCCTCTCTCTGTATGTTTTTGCTGAGTGATATTATGTTAATTTTAACTGCTACTTATATGTGAGTGTCTTTTGAATCTGTATTATTAGCTTCCAATCCTGGATTTTTAGTATCCCCGTACCAAAAACACTTCATCTGGGTATCCCACAGTAGCCTTTAAGTCAGAACATTAGAAATCAAACTCATCAGCTCTTCCCAACCTAAAGTCTTCCCACATTTCCTTTCTGATCCAGTGAAGTCACTGTTCATTCTGTCTCTCAAACTGAACACGTTCTCATTCTCTATATCATGCTAATTACAAAATTCTGTTGTGTGAGCCTCAAAATTTTCACTTTCCATTTATCCCATGTTATGACCATTTAAACCCTCATTATCTCCCATTTGCTTTGTTACAAACCTTCGTAGTCAACCTAAATCCAGCCTATCAGTTCTCATCTATTCACTACCACACTACTAGGTCATGGTCCTAAAAGTTAAGTCTAATAACATCAGTTTCCTACTGTGAAAACTTTAGCTGGTATCCTGTTGCTCACAGGATAAAATGCAAATTATCTCCATGTTTCTTGGACACTCGTTCCTTGAAGTTGACCATGTATACCATATCATGTTTTTGTCACTTTGTACCTGTTACTCCATTTGCCTGGAGTGCCTTTCTTTCCCTCATATAACTATTAACTTCTAATAATCCTTCAATACTAAGCACACTTTTCACCCTCTGTTTGAAATTTTTCCTACTTTTTCCAGGCACATGGTTGTTCTCTCAGCATTTTGTACCTAATATTACCATTGTTTTAAAAAATTATTTATGCCTTTGTCACAGACAAGATTTTAAGACTCCGCCATGCCCAGCAGTGAGCTTAAATACTACACAACATAGGGAGTTCTCAATAAGATTGTGTTGAATTAAAGTATGAAAGCACATAATGAATTAATTGAGATATTTTGGCCATATTTTTTTCTCTTCAAAAGCCAGATAGTACAGAACAAAAGAATAAAGAAATTCATAATTGAGATACTTTGGTTGGAAATTTGTTTTGAAATGAATTGATACATACTAAGAAAGGAATTAATAAAGGTGCCTTGGAAGACTTTGTAGTAATTTACCCTATAATAAATGATTTGTGGAATAATGAAAATATCTCTTACTAATGTAGACAGTTTTATTTCATTTTTATTCTCCTAAATGTTTTCCTCAAGAAACATAAAAAAAGAGGACAGTTGCTTCTCTTTAGCTATAATCTGAATTCTAGGTTTATTTCTATAAACTTTAGGCTTTTATGATGCATACTATAAAACGTTACACTCTGTAAATATGTATGTACATATGCATGTATGCATATACATATATACATGCATACATACGTACATCTAGCTAAGGAACTGTTTGACTTTTTTGGGGTGGGAAAAACATTTTTTTCTTCAAACTTTACATTTTTTTCAGTGCAAATATCTTACTGGATGAAGCTTTTACTGCTAAAATATCTGACTTTGGCCTTGCACGGGCTTCTGAGAAGTTTGCCCAGACAGTCATGACTAGCAGAATTGTGGGAACAACAGCTTATATGGCACCAGAAGCTTTGCGTGGAGAAATAACACCCAAATCTGATATTTACAGCTTTGGTGTGGTAAGTTCCGTATACATAATTATTAAAAATAATCATTCTGCTATAATTGTGAAAATGAAGAGAATATTATTTAATACACCCATCTTGTTTATCTCTCTTATGTAACAATATAAGTTTTTCACATTAACCTCTACTTATACCAGAAAGTTTATAAAAACTTCTTCCAATGTGTAAAACTTTTGAGTTGATTTTTGAAATGACTACAAGAAATGATTTTCTTGCCATCTGTCTTTATGAATTAGCATGACACCTAATGCATTAAATGAATCATGTCATACAGTATATACTTTAGTCTCACATTTTTTGACATTTACTAATCTACCTCTCTATTCCCAATAACTTTTAAGATAGAGCAAGAGATAGGTGTGGGTGGTTGAAGAAGCCGGGGGCTTTTTCTTCATTTTATTTTTTCATACGTGTTTCATATATGGAAATTTAACTTCATAGCACTGAAAATAAGGCATAGGGCTATAGAATATGCCTAATGTTTAGAAAATAATATTCTCCTAAGAGCCAGAGTAAATTATTCTTGTGAAGAATCCCCAAGAGGCAGGAAAAGGATTGGGAGTCCTTAGAACATATGTTGAGTGGGGCTGACTCTTTAGTAAGTTGCCAATAGAAAAGAGCTGCTTATGGTCATGTTGGGGTCCAAGATGTCCCTGAAGGAGGGATGGTGAGAAATGCCCAAAGCTCATGTTCTTTCCACTTTAATATCTAAAAGACATAGCTTTGTATAGAATGATTAATCAAATTTTGTAAGCAAGATTCATATTCATTCTAGTTTTTGTCTTGAGTATTATATATATAATTTATTAATATCATGTATAATATATATATTTTTTAGAGAGACAAGGTCTCACTCAGTCACCCAGACTGAAGTGCAGTGGTGGAATTATGGCTCGCTGTAGCCTCAACCTCCCAGGTTCTAGTGATCCTCTCACTTCAGCCTCCCAAGTAGCTGGGACTACAGGTGTGTGCCACCACACCCAGCCAATGTTTTTTTAAAATTTTTTGTAGAGACAGGGTCTCACTGTTGCCCAGGCTGGTCGTGAAGTCCGGGGCTCAAGTTATCCTCCCACATCTGTCTCCCAAAGTGCTGGGATTACAGGCGTTAGCCACTGTGCCCAGCCTATCTTGTGTATTATATTAATGATTTTTTTTGTCTTCATAGGTTTTACTAGAAATAATAACTGGACTTCCAGCTGTGGATGAACACCGTGAACCTCAGTTATTGGTAAATGAAATATTCATTTTCCTCAATCCTTTTTTCTCTGCTTTTGTAGTCTAAATTTATATGGATAAATTTGACATCTAAAAATAACATTTTCTATTGGCAATCTTTCCATTGGCTATTACACGACAGCATATGGAAAAAGCATTAAATATTTTCATTCTCAGCTCTCCCATGAAGTATTTGTGAAGCCTAGAAAAGTCACTTATATATTCTTTGTTCTGATTTCTTTGTGGGTAAAATGAGAATAGAACTAAATGATTTCTGAGGTCCTCTTTAGCTTATGTTTATTTTGTGTCACTTTTGGGGTGGCTACTGTTAATAACAGTGTTTCCAGCATTTTCAGAGGGGGGAAAAAAAAGGCTTCCATTCAAATTTCTTTCAGAATAAAATTGCTAGTAAAAGTTATCACTTATTTCTATCATGGGGTATTTTATTTACAAAGTTACAATAAAAAACATACCAAATTTGCTATTGTTAGGAAAAATTCATATCATGTTTTTCCTTTGCTCTCACACCACAACAACAATCAACACAGAAGATTTCTGTGACCAAATGCGACTGGGAAGGGTTTCTCCCCACCAACAAGCAGGCAATCTACTTTGCAGCGGAAGTCAGCTGGATCTCCTCCAATTTAATTCTGACACTACATTCCTGGACATAGCATCAGAGTCAGATCCCACAGGTTAAGAGCTCAGTCCCCAAGACTGCCATCCCACCAGACACCAGTTGTAAGTTTAGGCCTCCAGAACTTCTGACCAACTGCCTTCAAGTTGGAGTTCCTATGACCTCCTCTGTGGGTATGGAGGGCTCAAGATTGAACCCAGATTGATTCACTAAGTTGCAGCATATACTTTACCTAAGTTTTCCATCGTTTTGCCTAAGACTTTTTCCTTCAAAATATATAAAAGCCTCAAAACTTTGGCTTGAGTAAGAATGAAATGCAGAAAAACATAAGCTGTATCTCAGTCACAAGTTTTGCATTTCATCATATAATAGTGAAAATCATAAATCTTTGGAGAAGGTTTTACTCTTTCACCCATTCTTAAGGTTTGACTGTGATGTGACTCTAAAGTAATAAGATTTTCATACAAGCACAGTTTTTAAAAAAGTGATCATCTGAAGAACCGTTATGTCACTAGATTCTGCCGTTGTCAAACATTTTCAGAATTTATCTTTGAAAGTGGTTTTGAAGAGTTTACATCCTACCTCTCATGAATAGTTTTTTTCATCTGTATTAGCTTCCTAGGACTGTTATAAAAATATACCAAAAACTGTGTGACTTAAAGCAACAGAAATTTATTTGCTCATAGTTCTGGAGGCCAGAGTCTGAAATCAAGGTATGGGCAAGACTATGCTCTCTCTGGAGACTCCAGAGAGAATCTTGCCTTGCTCATTGGATGTAGGGCTTACCTCCAGGATTAGCCATAATCTGGAATGATCTCATCTCAGGATACTTAATTACACCTAAAAGGGCCCTTCTTTTCCTAATAAGATCACATTCACAGGTTCCAGGAATTATGACATAGACATGTTTTGGGGGACCATGATTCACCCAACTCCACGATCTTATTCCTACACTTCTCTCCCTGTTAATTTTTTTTTATCATGGCCTGCTCCCTATTTTTTCCCCTCCTTTTTTCTCTTTGATTCAACAACCTTAGTACCCATAGAGAAATTTGTTGGGTACAGGGAGGAGGAGTCAGGGTCCAAAAGTTGGAATTGCGCTATTAGAAGCACATCAAGAAGCAGACCACCCTGTGCTGCCCACCTAGTAAATGCTGCTAATGGGAACATATAAGCAATTAGCTCATAACATAGATATAAAAATTGGAAGGCAAATGGGTGGAAGTATCTAGGAGGTATAAATAATTAAATATACATTTGTATATATATATGTGTGTATATATATATATTTATATATATATATATACACATACCCAGCCATGTGTTGCCTAATGACAGGAATACATTCCGAGAAATGTGTTGTTAGGCAGTTTCATTGTGTGAACCTCATAGAGTGTACTTACACAAACCTAGATGATATGACCTACGACATACCTGGGCTATATGGTATTGCTCCTAGGCTACAAACGTATGCTATACAGCATAATACTCTCCTGAATACTGTAAGCAATTGTAACACACTGGTAAGTGTTTGTGTATGTAAACATAAAAGAGGTACAGTAAAAATACGGTATTATAATTTTATGGGACCACCATCTATATGTGATCTGTCATTGACCAATTGACCAAAATGTCATTTTGTGGTGGATGGCTGTACTTATTTACATAGGATTTGTCCTGTATGTCTTCAATTTTTTTTTTTTTTTTTGAGACAGAGTCTCGCTGTGTCACCTAGGCTGGAGTGGCGTGATCTCGGCTCAGTGCAACCTCTGCCTCCTGGGTTCAAACGATTCTCCTGCCAGCCTTCCAAGTAGCTAAGATTACAGGCATGCACCACCATGCCTGGCTAATTTTTTGTATTTTTAGTAGAAACAGGGTTTCACCATGTTGCCCAGGCTGGGTCTTCAATTCTTAATAAGGTTTTAAGATAAGATAGTAAAATGAGAGCACATGTTATTACAAAGTAGATTAATTTAAATAATTAAAATATATATTCTATTTTCTTTCACTATGATTTGAAGCTCTTAAAGTTTTAACACTCATTTTAAAGCTAGATATTAAAGAAGAAATTGAAGATGAAGAAAAGACAATTGAAGATTATATTGATAAAAAGATGAATGATGCTGATTCCACTTCAGTTGAAGCTATGTACTCTGTTGCTAGTCAATGTCTGCATGAAAAGAAAAATAAGAGACCAGACATTAAGAAGGTATGCATTTTTTATACTTATTTAAAAAGTGAAAGGGGTGGGGTTCATCATATTTTCCAGAGTGTATATTTTAAAGCAACTGTATAATGTGGTTCTTTTGTTTTTTTCTTTCTTTTTAAAAGGTTCAACAGCTGCTGCAAGAGATGACAGCTTCTTAAAACTTTATTGGAAAAGACTCTTGACTTTTTATATACACCTATCTCAACCATTTTTTTAACTGATTTTTTTCCTAAATATTCTTCTTTACCTTTAACAAGGCATAGGCTGTTGCAGGACAGTGGTTATTAAAGCATGGGTTGAACTTCCAAAATATAAAAATAGAGCCACCATATCAACACTTAGCCCTACCCATTAGTATCACCCCCAGTTCTTACAGTAATCCCTGAGAAATCTCCTTCAAGCATCACCAAACACAGTTTGAAAATTACAGGGTTAGCAAAAAGAGCCTGGGCTGTATGTAGGGTGGAAACACTCTGATCTGAAGCCCAGCTGACTCCACTACTAATTTGCTGTAAAGCTTTGGACATACACTTAGCTGCTGTGAGCCACTAATAACATTGGGCTAATATCTGCTGTGCTTCTCTGACAGGTAGTCATGAAAATCAAATGATGCAAAATATATACAAGCACTTTGTAAATTGTAAAATGATACAAAATTTAAAGTTTATAGAGCCAGTTACAAAATCCTATTAGTCATATATTTATAGATTGTGTTCACAGCAATCATTTAACCACAAATAAAATATCCCTTGATGATACTGCCATAATGATATGTCCATTATTAGATTATGTTACATGACAAAGTTGAAGGAATTTGGCAGATGCAGTTAAGGTTCCTAAACAACTCACTTTGAGACTGTTGAAAGGGCCTGACCTAATCAAGTGAACCCTTGCAAGAAGAATTCTCCTTGTAAGCCTTGAAGAAGTATGTGAGAGGGCCACATTGGCTAAAACCTAAAGGTGGCCTCTAGGAGATGAGACCTACCTTCCAGTTGTCAGCAAGCAGGAAAAAAAAATTGGGACCTCAGTTGCAACCACAAGGAACTGAATTCTGCCAAAAATCTGAGTCAGCTTAGAAGAGTACTCCAAGCTTCAGATGATAACCACAGCCTGGGCTGACACCTGGATTTCAGCTTTGCATGATCCTCAGTATGAGAATCTATCTGTTCTGTGCTGGACTTCTAATATATAGAACTGTGAGATAATGGGTCACATTGGCTGGATGTGGTGGCTCATACCTGTAAATCCCAGCACTTTGGGAGGCCGAGGCAGGCAGATCACCTGAGGTCAAGAGTTCAAGACCGGCCTGGCCAACATGGTGAAACCCCGTCTCTACTAAAAATACAAAAATTAGACGAGCGTGGTGGTGGACACCTGTAGTCCCAGCTACTTGGGAGGCTGAGGCAGGAGACTAGCTGGAACCAGGGAGGTAGAGGTTGCAGTGAGCTGAGATCGTGCCACTGCACTCCAGCCTGGGTGACAGAGTGAGACTCCATCATAAATAAATAAATAAATAAATGGGTCACATTAAGCCTTTAAGTTTGTGGTAATTTATTATTCAGTAATAGAAAACAAATACAGATACTCTCCCATGATGTTTTTCCCATGATGATTTCCCATGATATTTACAGGTTTTGCCCACATTTGAGGGGTATGTGGAAATTATACAGAGCATGTACAGCGGGAGGCTTATAGTGTACGTACTGAAATGTGGGGTTGGAGCCCCAACACAGAGACCCCAGCAGGACACTGCCTAGTAGAGCTATGGGAAGGGTGCTGCCACCCTCCAGACTTGAGAATTGTAGAGCCACCAGCAGCTTGCACTCTGAGCTTGGAAAAGCCACAGGCACTCAACTTCAACCATGAGGGAAGCCACGCACCCTGCAAAGCCACAGGAGTGGAGCTGCCCACGGCCTCGAGGGCCCACCCCTTGCACCAGTGTGCCAGGATGTGGGACATGGAATCAAGGAATATGTTAGGGCTTTTTTTTTTTTTTTTTTGAGACGGAGTCTTGCTCTGTTGCCCAGGCTGGAGTGCAGTGGCACGATCTCGGCTCACTGCAAGCTCTGCCTCCCAGGTTCACGCCATTCCCCTGCCTCAGCCTCCCCAGTAGCTGGGACTACAGGTGCCCGCCACCATGCCCAGCTAATTTTTTTTGTATTTTTAGTAGAGATGGGGTTTCACTGTGTTAGCCAGGATGGTCTTGATCTCCTGACCTCGTGATCACCCGCCTCGGCCTCCCAAAGTGCCAGTATTTAAAGTTTAATGTCTTCCCAGCTGGGTTTCAGACTTGCCAGGATCCTGTTGCCCCTTTCTTTAGCCAATTTCTCCCTTTTGGGACAAGAATGTTTTACTTATTGCCTGTACCACCAACTGTATCTTGGAAATAAATAACTTATATTTTATTTCAGAGGCTCATAGGCGGCAGGAACTTACCTTGAGTCTCAAATGAGACTTAGGACTTTTGAGTGATGCTAGAATGAGTTAAGACTTTGGGAAGGGATGATTATATTTTGCAATGTGAGAAAGACATTAGATTTGGGGGGCTGGGGGTAGAATGACATTGTTTAGATGTTTGTCTCCTTCAAATTTCATGTTTAAATGTAATCCCCAGTGTTGGGGGTGGAGGTGGGGCCTGATGGGAAGTGTTTGGGTCATGGTGGATGATCCCTCATGAATGGCTTAGAGCCACTGGTGATGAGTGAGTTCTCACTCAGTTCGTGTGAGATCTGGTGGCTTAAAAGAGTCTGCTCCCCCTTTGCCTTCCATTGTGATTGTAACCTTCCTGGGGCCTTCATCAAAGGCCAGGCAAATATTGGTGCCGTGCTAGTATGGCCTGCAGAACCGTAAGCCAAAACAAACCTTTTTTCTTTATAAATTACCCAGCCTCAGTTATTCCTTTATAGTGATGCAAAACGGGCTAACTATATAAATTTGTAATTTTTAAGTTATAGATTGTTTTTATTAAACACTTATGAATACTGTTTGAAGTGCTTTAATTTTTATAACAATCCTATGAATTTGGTAATAATCACATTTTACAGATGAGGAAATTACCCAAGATTATATAGCTAATAAGTTGCGTGGCAGAAATTAGCATCTGGTATCAGTTTGCGATCTTTACCACTAACACGATGTCTGTGCATCATATTAATCATAATCATTTTCTCTGTCATATGTTGAAAGTTATTGTGCCAAACATTGTGCTGAGTTTTAGAAGCATGATCTGATTTGATAAATCTACAATGTAGGTTCTATTCTTTTACTTCTTGAGGAAATTTTGAGACCCCCAATGATTAAATAACTTCTTTCCCTTGTTCATTGTATTAGACTGCAATTCTCCACTCATTATATTTGATGCCTTTTGCAATATGGCTTTGTAATTTTTCCCATCAGGAAGTAAAGTCTATTTCCTCAACCATTAAATCTGGGCTGGCCTTGTAACTTGCTTACAGAAAAAGTGATGGTCAGTTCCAAGCCCAGGTCTCAAAAGCACTAATGCACTACTTCTCTCATTTGGAACCCTGCCACTGACATGAGAACAAGCCAAGGGTAACATGCTGCTGATGACAGACCATGCAAAACAGAGACAAGGCATCTCAGATGAGGTCATCCTTAATCAGCCCACCTGCCAGCTGATCACAAACATACATGAGACATGAGAGGTCAGCCAACTGTAGATTTGTGAGGGAGGGTAGCTGTTGTTTTAAACTGCTACTTTTTTTTTTTTTTTTTTTTTTTTGGAGAGTCTCACTTGGTCACTCATGCTGGAGTGCAGCAGTGTGATCATGGCTTACTGCTGCCTTGATCTCTCAGGCTCAAGTGATCCTCCTGCCTCAGCACCTTGAGTAGTTGGAGTACAGGTGTGTGCTACTGTGCCCAGCTAATTTTTTTTTTTTAATTTTCTGTAGAGACAGGATCTCACTCTGTTGCTGAGGCTGGTCTTGAACTTCTGGATTCAAGCAATTCTCCTGCCTCAGCTTCCCAAAGTGTGAGATTAGAGGTATAAGCTACCATGAAAATCACATCTGGGGGCTAGTTTGTGATGCATTAGTACGGTATGGTTTGTTATTCGTTAGTATGAAGATTACAGGTATAAGCTACCATGAAAATCACATTGAAAATCACCTAGTTTGTGATGCATTAGTATGGTATGGTTTGTTATTCGTTAGTATGAAGATTACAGGTATAAGCTACCATGAAAATCACATTGAAAATCACCTAGTTTGTGATGCATTAGTATGGTATGGTTTGTTATTCGTTAGTATGAAGATTACAGGTATAAGCTACCATGAAAATCACATTGAAAATCACCTAGTTTGTGATGCATTAGTATGGTATGGTTTGTTATTCGTTAGTATGAAGATTACAGGTATAAGCTACCATGAAAATCACATTGAAAATCACCTAGTTTGTGATGCATTAGTGTGGTATGGTTTGTTATTCGTTAGTATGAAGATTACAGGTATAAGCTACCATGAAAATCACATTGAAAATCACCTAGTTTGTGATGCATTAGTATGGTATGGTTTGTTATTCGTTAGTATGAAGATTACAGGTATAAGCTACCATGAAAATCACATTGAAAATCACCTAGTTTGTGATGCATTAGTATGGTATGGTTTGTTATTCGTTAGTATGAAGATTACAGGTATAAGCTACCATGAAGATCACATTGAAAATCACCTAGTTTGTGATGCATTAGTATGGTATGGTTTGTTATTCGTTAGTATGAAGATTACAGGTATAAGCTACCATGAAGATCACATTGAAAATCACCTAGTTTGTGATGCATTAGTATGACTAAATCATGATTTAGTCATGTAGCCAGTAAGTGGCAGTCAGAAACACACACACACACACAAGGATGTGGCCCAGTTTGTCTTATTATAAATACAGCTTGGTAATAGAAAACTAAGAAATGCAATCTAACCCCTGTTCATGGCTTGCCTCTTTCCCATTAACCATCCAGAGTTCACTAAGAAACTACAGCCTGGCTGAATCCTAGCAAATGAGGGTGGTAGTGCAGCAGCACTGACAGTTGAGTAGGCTGGTATCAATCTTTTTGGAGCACAGAATCAGCTGAATGAAGATCCCTACTGGAAGGCATTTGATGCTCAGGAATGGGTCAGTACTGCCATTTTGTGTGGTAGAACCCATGGCTTTCGCAGGGCAAGAGATTTTGCCAGTGCTAGTGAGTTTTCCTGTGGCCAGAAAGAAAATGATGGAGGCCAGATCCTCTGGTGACCTACCACTGCTGGCATGTGCTCCTTTCACAGCTGTTCTTCAAGGAAAGGCAAATTCATTTATTCATTCAATAAATTGAAAAATGCCCACTATATCATAGAAACTTCTAGGTGCTAAGGATGTAGCAGTGAATGAAACTAAGCTTCTTGTCCCCATTGAACTTGTATTTTAGTGGAAGAGACAATATGGGCACAGATATAGAATACCTAAGTGCCATGAGGAGGAATAAAGCAGGATTAAGGTGAGAGGAACAAGGAGTACAATCAGATTGGGAAATTAGGGGAGACTTCTCTAAGGAGATGACACTGACACCTGAGCAGAGACCTGTAAGTGAGGAAGGCATGTAGATACCGGGTTAGAGTGATCCAGCGTGGGGAACGCATTCAGTGCCCTTGAGGCTGTGCTTGGTCTACTAGAGGAACAGAGAGCTGTCAATGAACTGAAGCAGACTGACCAAGGAAGGTAGAGAGCCACGGGCAAATCATGTAGAAGCTACTGGGCAACAGTGAGACCTAAACTTTCTTCTATGAGATAGTGCCACTATCATAACTAGTACAGTGTAAAACTTCAGTTTGTTGGCTGAATTGGGGTGGGGGAGAGCTACAATTTATATGATTTAAGGTAAACTGTTCCCAGTCATGGCTAGCCATGAATCATTTGTAGAACTATTTGATTCCTGGACCCACCTACTGGGTCAAAATCTAGTATGAAGCCCAGAATTAGTATTTTATTTAAAAAAGAACATTCCAGGCCGGGTGCAGTGGCTCACACCTGTAATCCCCACACTTTGGGAGGCCGAGGTGGGTGGATCACGAGGTCAAGAGATCAAGATCATCCTGGCCAACATGGTGAAACCCCATCTCTACTAAAAATACAAAGATTAGCTGGGCGTGGTGGCGCACACCTGTAGTCCTAGCTACTGGCGAGGCTGAGGCAGGAGAATCACTTGAACCTGGGAGGTGGAGGTTGCAGTGAGCCAAGATTGCGCCACTGCATTCCAGCCTGGTGACAGAGCAAGATGCCATCTAAACAACAACAAAAATTCCATCCTGAAACTTATGGCTCTATTTGCAAAGAAAATGTGAAAGGATATACACCAAACTGTTTACAGTACGTACCTCAGGCACATTAGTACATTATTTTAGCTCTGAGTAGAAATGCCTTAGCTTAAATGTTTAAAAGTTTTAATAATGAGCCTTTTGTTTTTTGAGACAGTCTCGCACTGTCGCCCAGGCTGGAGTGCAGTGGCGCAATCTCGGCTCACTGCAAGCTCCGCCTCCCAGGTTCGCGCCATTCTCCTGCCCAGCCTGTAGCTGGGACTACAGGGGCCCGCCACCACACCCGGCTAATTTCTTGTATTTTTAGTAGAGACGGGGTTTCACTGTGTTAGCCAGGATGGTCTCGATCTCCTGACCTCCGCCTCGGCCTCCCAAAGTGCTGGGATTACAGGCGTGAGCCACCGTGCCCGGCCCAACGATGAGCCTTTCTAAAGCTATTTCAGCATCTTTTGTAAAACTGCTACCAAAGACATCCATCTTGTCACATCTCTAATAAAAAGGATTTGAAACCAAATCGCACACAGGAGTGCATTCAACATTTTTCACATGAATGAATACAGTGGCAAGTCTGAGTTTAGTGTCAAGTAAATCAGTACTGGGGTGCTTCTGTTACAGAAAATGAATAACTCATGGCATTTTTATTATTGCTACAACAGTGGCAAATTTTTAATCTAAGCACTCTATAGTCACAATTATTCTTGCCTAGGTTTAAAGCTACTTAAAATCCTTTTTGGACTTAGGCAGACTAATTAACAAATAAATGAATGGGATTCCTAACCTAACACCAGGTACTGAATTATGAAACATTACACAAACAATTAAAAAAACTATAGTAGAAAAACCAACAGAACATACACAACTTAAAGAGAAAAAATTTTTATTGTGATATAAAATGCACTTATAAAATGTCCACCAGAAGGCATGTAATTCTTCACTGCTATATAAATTTACTGGGAATATGTTATTCACCATCTAGGTATGATACTGCCAACTAAAACATACTGTAAACGATGAGTTATACTCTATAACAAATGCATCACTGATTTTCAGCAATCATTGGTTTAATAATAATTAGTTTAAGACTATAATCACATCTATATTCTGGAATGTCCATTTACTTTAATGTAGTGTAGTGGAATTTAGAGTATAATTGCACATAGATGGTACAGAAAAACATTCACTTCTAAATTATTTTATACCTTCATGACAGGTAGTCTTCCTGACTGAAAATAACAGCTTCAGCTATGGTCTGCTCCAGGATTCTTAATGCAATAATTTGGGTGTATGTGTGTCTGTCTACGTGTACACCCATGGAACAACTTATATCTTTAGTAAACAAGTGCAACATTATTGTCAGTTATTTTGCATGTTTAAATATTATAGTCTGATTATTTGTAAACAAACAAAACCCCAAATACTCTAAATTCTATTTTAAAAATCTGTCAACCCACAATTATTCTAATATGCTTTACTTACTCGAACACAAATTTCTGAAAGGTGCATATATTACCTTAGATAATAAGGTTTAGAAATGAGTGCTTCACACTATGAAATGTGCATTTCCGATAAGTGATTTATGCAGCATAAAGTTTAGATCAAGAAATTACAAATCCTGGATCCCCACAGTTCATTTAGAAAATGCCTCAAAGTTATGGCTCTTGCAGCAGGTTTAACAGATTAAACATTAAGTGTTCTAGCTCCCTCTATTTCAAGTATCAAAGAAATATGAGGCTCAAAATCTCTCTAGGTTGTAACTGATAATGCAAAGCATTAGAAAACAGTTAAATGTGTTTTGAAATACAGTATTAACTGAGATTATTAAGGTGTTTATCTACGTTAGCCTGTTAAGTACCAGGACTTTAAAGTAATTTTAAATCTGAGTATTTGCTCGGAAGTGATAAAGAACACAATTTGCCCATAAATGTATGGTTTTGGAGAAAAAAGTCAATCCTGATTTTTAAAACTCAACATTTTTTGTTTCCTTTTGAATGATATTAATTTAAATTTCAATCTGAACATAAATGTTTGGCCTCACAGAGCATTAGAAAGATAATTTACTAAGGCTGTTTAAAGTCTTTCAATGTCATCAGAAATCCTGCAGTATAGAAAATATCTGGTACCCTTAAAGTTTCAGAGTGAGCTGATCTGCAATTTTAATGCTATTAAAAAAAAGTCAAATATAAAAGACTGCTGCAATATAAAGCACTATTTCTAAAAGTTGCAGACATGATCCTACAGTCTGACAGAGCTAGCACAGCTACTCGGAGTAAGCAACTTGCGGCCTTTTCCAAGGCACACTAAGTTTCCAGCTTAGAAAATACTCTAGCCTGGTCCTTAACATATTCATTAAGTAATATGAATATTTTAAGGTCTTTCTGTCCCACAAGAAAGTAGTAAGTTTACCCTTTGAGACATCAGACTTTCTAGAACTGGCCCAACTGTATAAAATTTTAAGAAGTATTTGAAGTGTGGAATCAACGCTATGAAAACAGTGTGACAAAATTAAACATTATGTTGAACCCTTTTCTAGCTTTAACTCAAAAATAGAAATCATGAGTCTTCTATAACATTAATTTTAAAAACACACAGAAGTGAAAAGTGCTATTTTCCAAAAAGTACAATTTTTTTCCCTACTTTATATCAACATGGAATGATTTCAGTTCTCCTGTACTAAAAGCTGGACTTTTAAAAAACTAGTATTACAATGTTTAATGTGATGACTTTAATCAGTAGTAGCTTCAGTTTCCGCTGGGCCCCTAATTAGTCTTCGAATTCCTCTTTTTCCTGCAGGACCTTTTGGTTTTGCAAAACTTTGCTTGTGTGCATGCTGCTTGGGATGTACTTCTTCATAAAGGAAGTCTGCAGTCAACTCATCCCCATTGTCTATCTCGATCTGTAAAAGATAAAATTAGAAGCACAACATTCAAAACCTAATACAAGCAACAAGCTGGTTTTCAGGTATATGAATGCTCACAAATAATACCCTTTCCAGTAAGGCAGAATCAAGGACCATATGTAAACAGTTTCACTTTCTTCTTTTGGGGGAAGGGGCTAAATGAGTTACTTGAATATATAATCAGCTACATTCACTTCCTTCTTGGTTCTTTCTTAGTGCTCCAGTTTAAATAATGTTTAAAAGTAGAAGCCACCACTACATTCTCAAGTTGCTATGATACACTATTTATTCAAGGAACATTTACTCATGACCCTTTCATCACTTGGGTCACTTGAAAGCCCTCTACAAGAGAGGTAAACAAACCATGGCCCGAAGGCCAAATCTTGCCCAAGGTAAGATTGTTTTACATTTTTTAAGGGTTGTTAAACAACAATAAGAATATATGACAGAGATTATATGTGGCTTGGCAAAGCCTTTACTTACTATTTGGTCCTCTGTAGAAAGTCAGCTGATCCCTGCTATAGAAGGTGCTACCCATGATAAAGTGATTGATTCTTAGGAACTTAAAAAGCATGAAGGGTTCAGAACCTAAAAACACTGGTAGTTTTTAAGGACCTGTATTTTTATGAGTTTAAGGGCTCAAGAATATATATCTTTCCCCATGCCTTATCTGTACTTAAGAAAATTTAAGAAAATTGGTAGCTTAGTTCCCAAAATTCAAATGTTTATGCTTATTCCTTCCTTCCCCCAAACTGGAAAGACTCCCAACCATCCCATAATTCAGTCATAATGGAGACTGTAATTCCTTATTAATATGCAGTAGAAATAATCACAAGTATGCAGCTCTGGCAGCGCTGTCCAATAGGACTTTTTGCACTGATGGAAATGTCCTATAAATTCTGCACTAACCAATACGGTAGCCAGTAGCCACATTTAGCTAATGAGAATTTGACATAAGGCTAGTGGAATTAAGAAACAGAACTTTAAATCTTATTTAAAGTTAAATAGCCACATGTGGCTTACTAGGAAGTACAGATATATATAGAGATGGGGATCATGACAGGTAGTTCCCAGGCACTTAGAGGAGATCCTAAGGATTTAGGATGATAACAAGAAAAATAAATATTTTCATTTATAAATCACAGTACATCATAAACTACATAGAAATGAAAAGAAAAATTTAGCAAAAACTGAAGATTTTAAAATAGGTGGGCTACCTTTCTAATTACATCCATTTGTAGTTGTCTTTCTACAATTTCTAGCAGACGGCTCTTGCAGCTAGAATACAGCATCCGCTCTCTTATACTGCATGTGTATCCAGGCATTGAATAAATAAAAACTGTAAGTTCAAATAATAACAAATATAATTAGCATATCAATACATAAACTTCATAAAACTACATATATAAACTTCATAAAAACAAGTACAGAAACTTCATAAAACTACAGCTAAGCCCTCTGGGCAAGAAATAAGTAAGAATATAGGGCTGATACACCAATAAACAAACTGAAAGTAATGTGTTAAAAACAATGTATCATATACCTATGGACTCTAAATAGTCTCCTTCATGGGAATGTTTATACAGAAAGAAATGGTAACGAGCTGAATCCTTGGGAATCCTCTTTGGCAAATCTTTCAGTTCTGTATTTGTTGTGTTGGCCAAAATTATAATTTCATTTTTTATATCTATTTCCTGCCAATAAGAAACAAAATATGTTCATTAAAACCAGATATAAGGAAATTAAGTTAAAACATATAATAAAAAGACCAAGAGATAAAGGAGGAACTTAGTTCTGGATGGTTTGACTTTTTCACAATGAACATTTACAAAATGAATTTTAGAAATCAGAAAGCTATTTAAAATGTAAAATCCATTAATAATAAACCCTATATGAGTCATAAACTACCAAAAAGAGCAGCCACTTAATAATCATTATACATCTCTTACCAACTGCACATAGTTGAGCTGTCTATTATTCAATTTTTCCAAAGCCTGAAAGGCTTCTCGAGAAATGGGAAATGCTACTCCTTGTAGTGTTTGATGCTTAGTGTCCACACCCACGTCAGTCTGTACCTAAGTATGACAGATTTAATTTACAAGTTTAGCAGTTAGCAGTATCCTATGGCAAACATAAGAAAACCCAACCTCTATAAAATAGTATCATTCAACCCTAGCCCAACCTATAATTAAAATTATTTTTCACATTTGTTTACGGTCCTGCTAGCATTTTGTCAACATGCAGAGTGCATGACACATCTTTACGACAATGTTGGAAGTGAACATTTGAATGAGTGTACAGTTAGTGGGGTTTGGGTGGGTTTGTTTTTATGTTTGGTTTGGCACAATTTCTTTAGAGTGTCATCAGATTACACCACTGATTGTAAAATTTTACTTGATAGAATTTATAAACAACAATCTACATACAATATGTATAGAACTTTACTTTGTTCTGTTGGACAGAAAATGCAACACAAACATCATGCACTGAATTGAAAGGAGTACAAACAGTGTACAAAGACAACACAGCTCAACAAGTTATACTACTGCAGAAGTTCCAGACTTAAGAGATTTCTTTACTAAGAACATGGTGTGCATGTACTGGAAGAGGAGAAAGATAAGAAAGCATTCAATGCACATGTTTAAGATTTTTATACTTGATAAATGATAGCTAGTAGAGAGTCTCATTCGCAGTGTTGCAACAGAAAGTCCAATAGAAATTTTACTTTTAAAAAAATGAATGGAGATTCTACAGCATAAATGATATTGGTTAATGAAAACATCATAGAACATATGCGAATGCATACCCCAATATGATCCTCTGGGCTCTGATTGCAAGAAATAAAACAAACTATCAAACTCGTAAAAAAAAAAAAAAATCACATAAAAAGCCCTACTCAAATAATATGAATTAAAATAATATGATAGATCCTTGCTACCAGTTTAATATTAAATGATATTCAACCATTCTCCAGACTGATTCCTACTGTCTGTGACTCAGGCTAATGAACAGTGGTTTCAGCTAATGAATAGTGGTTTCAGCCACTTGTTCTTTTCTGTAAAGTCCCAGTAGAAATACAGTAGTTATTCCAGTATGTTAGAATGGCTGTAGAAAACACATTAAAAATAATGATAAACTACAAAATAATATGGCTGAAATTTATTGACTCTAATATGCTCAACAGGTACTCAAATAATAATCTTCCATATATATCTCTATTCAAGTAGAGTTCATAGAAGTTAATTTGTAGACTCTCTAGAAAGCCAACAAAACAATAATCTGCTTCAGGCAACCTTATTAGATACATTCTTTGCACTAAATGGGTAACACACACTTTTTCTCTATATAATATTCAAAGTACAAAGTTCACAACAGTTGTACTTCAAAAGGAAGATTTACTATTCTGACATGAAGATTATAGGAAAAGCTATTTATAAAATGCATATAAAGTTTAATATTCATTTTAACTTTTTTTTTCTGAAAAGGCATTAAGCACATAGCCTTATCTCTAAACTAAACGGAATAAACCTAAGCTACCTAACTTCTTTAATCTCTAGTTATCCTCCCACATCTATTAATTAAAAATACAGTATTTTCAAACACTTAAAATCTTGCAAAGACTTTGTAGTTGTAACTTACCTCATTGATTTTAATCTGTCGTAGTTCTTCCTCAGCTGCAGTCAGTGGGGCAGGGGAAGATTGTGACAGCAAGTATTTTTTATATCCATGTAATGATACATCTTCCTGTAAGTACAGAATAGACTATAATCAGTAATTCTCTAGAAGTAAAATGACAGTGAAGTTACTTTAGGAAAAACAAAATCATTAACAGAAAAGATTTTAAATGAAAATAAATAGCATTATGAATTTTAATATCTTTTTACTTTTCTTTAATCCTCAATTTTAAGTTTCAAAACTTTTTAAGGGGAGTACCCACTGTTCATTTTATATGAAGCTTTATAATTACTAAATATTTTGTATGAGTTTCATACTGGCAAAGTGAAATACTGAACCTGGTCATCCTGTAAGTCTATAGGACAACTGTAATTAACCTTCTGGAGAAAACTGCCCAATGATTATCCAATAATCAACATATTCAGATTCTGAATACTATGTTATAATGCTTAATATAATTTCTTTGTAATTATTCATGGAAAATTATTATAGTTTTCATGTCAAAAGAAAAAAATACTACAAAGAGGTCTACCTATCATCAAAATTTTGTGGTTTAGAAGACTGAGACTCATGAAATTAAGAAACCAGCCCACTTCACAATTAATGGTGAAGAAGCAATATATTCCCATCTAGTCTTGTGCTCTATCCACTAGATTATATGACTTTCTGAATCAGAAAAGCTCTAAACAAACAAAAAAGTTCAAAAATATATTTCAGTGTTTCAATTTGTGTATATATGTGTAAATACATATATTTACCATATACTTTAGAAGAATCAGTATGTTTCAATATCACTTGTCAATGTCAAATAGATACAAATGAATAAACTCAAAGTTACATATTCATTACAGCTAACTTTAATATTATATGAAATACAGTATTTCTCTTATTCTCATGTTTTCAGATTATCCATCTGAATTCGTATCAATTACCCATTACCTAGGAGTTCCTCTTTAATCATTTTAATTGCAACATATAGAATCCACATACAAACATAATACCTTTACTGTTCCAAATACTTCATCTTTAATGTGGCCACCTCCAAATTCCTTCTTCAGAGTTGCTCTTGTTGCTGCATACAACATTTTTTGACGAACCTATTCAGTTGTGAAAGTTTACTTAGTTTATAGATGAAAACATAACATTACAAAAGCAAGCACATTCTGAATATATTAATATCCTGAATCACATTAAAAACAAAACTGAGCTGAAGTCCACCCACTATAATATGCTAAAATACGTGTGTACAAATAACCGTCATTAACATGGGCATCTAAACTATCAATGGTTAGTAAGATGGACTTCAATTTACAATGTCACTTTTTTTGTTTTTTGAGACGCAGATTTGCTCTTGTTGCCCAGGCTGGAGTGGAATGGCATGATCTCAGCTCACTGCAACCTCTGCCTCCCAGGTTCAAGTGGTTCTCCTGCCTCAGCCTCCCGAGTAGCTGGGATTATAGGTGTGCGCCACCACACTTGGCTAATTTTTTCTATTTTTAGTACAGACGGGCTTTCACCATGTTGGTCAAGCTGGTCTCAAACTCCTGACCTCTGGTGATCCACTCGCCTCGGCTTCCCAAAGTTTAGGGATTACAGGCATGAGCCACCGTGCCTGGCCACATTTTAAAGCTGAAAAAAATATAAATTGTTTAAATTCTTCATTTTTCAAACTCATAAGTTCAAGAATAAAAAATTAAAATATGAGGAAAACTGAAATGAAGTAACTTTGATAGTGACATTCTTCTCAAAGCTGTATCAAAGATTACGAATTAAGTTGTTAAGAATCAAAATTCACGGCTTACCGATGGCACATACCATTCTAGGAGGGACACAAAGATGGAAAAAAAAATTCAAGAGTCAACTAGTATCTATGGAAAGCTACTAAAGATAACTACCAATTAACAAATAATTTCATAATCCTGCATGGTCAAACCCAGTATTTCTTTCAGATAGAACATGGGGAATTAAAGAGGAATGGGATGATCTTTTGAGAAAATATCTAGATAACTTTAAAAATAATTATTTTTTAATAAGAAAAATTCAAATTAATTTTTTAAATATTGGGCCATATTCATATATTAATTCTGTCTATTGTTCTATACAGTCAATCTACTACCAGCTTTCCTAAAATACTTGTTTGTATGCAGGCCCATCACTTGAATGGTAGCGATTAATAAATGTATGATAATACTAACAAAATTTAATATTATGTTCAATTAGTTCTCAGATTTATTACAATTATTACTCTCAGGGCCAGGCAGTTTCCTTCATTTTTCAGAGGCCCATGGAGTCATTTTAAAATTACCACAAATTAGGTTGGACACAGTGGCTCATACCTGTAATCCCAGCACTTTGGGAGGCCGAGGTGGGTGGATCACTTAAGGCCACGAGTTTGAGACCAGCCTGGGCAACACAGTGAAACCCCGTCTCTACTAAAAATATAAAAATTAGCTGGGCGTGGTGGCACATGCCTGTAATCCCAGCTACTCAAGAGGCTGAGGTGGGAAAATCACTTGAGCCTGGGAGGCAGAGGTTGCAGTGAGCCGAAACTGCACCACAGCAAGCTGGTCTGGGTGACAGAGTGAGATTCTGCCTTAAAAAAGAAAGAAAAAATTGCCATTGCCACAAATTTTTAAATCTTAAATCAGTAATAATTATTTTGATTTCAAGGGCAAAACTCCCGAATCTAAGCACATTATTCCTGATTCTCCGTTATCAATCCAAGGATTTTCCTCATGATCATTCCCTTCTATGGGAAATAATTATTGTTTTTTAACCTTTATTTGACCTAGAAATTTCAAAAACATTTTTCTAGCATTTAATGTTAAACAAACTATAAAAAAGTTACTTACATGAGAATGATCTGGAGACCATGCAATGAATATCCATTCATATCCCTGGGCATTCTGAGAATCTAACCTGAATAATATATAGCATGGTTGTTTGTCCTCCAACAGGGGTAAAACAAAGGAATCATAATCCTTATCCCAGGAATCTGAAGGCTGACTATATGATCCAATCACAAGTTGCTCTATGAAAAATTATTTTTAGAAAGATAGGTAAATGGTTTGAGATATCAAGTGGTAGTGTGATGAAGACTAGAAAAATAAATATATAGTCATTTCCCAGTTACTATTATTCACATCAAAAAGTTGAAAAGAAAAATGTGGTAACATAGAAAGTAATTATGACATAGAGTATTATAAAAACTGTTAACTTTTTATGAACATGGTTAAAATGTTTAAAATATACACAGCCTAAGAAAGAAACATATAAAAATGATCATAACAGTTGAACTGAATGGTCAAATAATGTAATGACCTATAACAGTCATTACATTTCTATTTTCCAAAATGTCTGAGCTTAAGTTATCAACAAAATATATTTAAACTACCATTCAAAAGTATAATTTCTGACATTAACAATGAATTGTACAGTAAGAAATATTAAATAAAACCATGTTTAACTCCTTTTTATTTGGCCATAATGCTACAGATTTAAACATTTGCCTAGATGTATACACTGGTATAGCCACTTTGAAATGGTATTCAGCAGAATCAAGTAAAACTGTTAATCTACTATGCATACAGAATCTCTTATACATAAATACAAAGGTGTTCACTGCAGCACTATACAGTAACAGTGAAGTTATAGCCTCAATGTTCATCAATAAGACAATGCAAAAATAATGTGTGGCATAGTCATATAACATTCTGTTCAGATTTAAAATGAATTATTGAGCTATCAAAACTAATTGCAAATGGAACATTTTCAGAAAAAGGAAAGATACAGAGTAAGATGGTATCATGCAGTTTATGTAAACTCAAAGAGCACTATATGCTATTTAGGGATACATGTAAAAACAGACTGCACAAGTATCAGAACTCCCAATTGTAGTTGCCCCAGGGTAAGGAGGTCAGAAGCAAAATTGTTTAAAGGGGATGCTCTTATACCAGAAAAACACTGAATTTTCTAAAATGCTTGAAGTAAATAAGATAAAATGTTAGCAGTTATTAATAAAGGGGAGATATAGGTATTTATGATACAATTTTAGTCTTTGGAATTTTCCTTATTTAAAAATTTTCACAAAACAAAAAAGTAAAACCAGAAAATAATAACTTAGGAAGTAGTGCCATTTTCCTTCCGTAGAGATGCTAGTTAGATTAACTTTTCCATTTTAGTTCCTTAACTAGTCACTTAGGAAGTGATGGCATTAAAAATTTTAGCTCAGTATTTTTAAAATATGCTGTTTTACAATATACATATATTCCTATTGAATGTTGTATGTAAACAAATGCATATTTTACAAACTATTCTGGTATTTTTTATATAAGCAGAAAATAGAAAACAAATTAGATTTACTTCCAGTTTGTGAAAGAACAAGTTACTTTTCCAAAGCAAAATATTTTCAGATATTTAAGAAATTAGGCCACTGGAATATTTTAATATATTCATTTATGACTGAGTACCTATAACAATAATTGTTCAAATTCAAATCTGCCTGATTTAAAAGATTCTCCCACTCAACCAGATTCCCTGTTTACAGAATTATTTTTAAAGAATCAATTTGTAGTTTGTTATATTCTCAGAACTTTCCCAAAACAAGAAAGGGAAATGATCATTTCTGTGGCAAAGGTTGCAATCAAATGGAGAAAATGGGAGTTTGATATCCTTTGTTTATATTTAAAAACAAACTTAATTGAATAATTCACAAGTAACTATTTTTTTTTTTTGATAATCACCTGTTTAGTGATTTCCATTCCAGAGATGGAAGCACTGACATTAGAAATGGACTGTGGTGCAGAAACTGAGACACAAAAAGTAAAAGAGGAAGAAGTCACATCAAAAAACATCTTTCTGTTTCCCTGATAGTCACATAATTCAGAATGAAATTAGGGGCCCATAGGGACCTGCACAAAATATGAGGAATCCAAGTTACCGTAAGATTTGAACTTGCTTCATATTAATTAATAGTTCAAATCACTGACAACACACAGTAAGTTTAAAAATACAACAGCCACTAATCCAGGAACAGAAAATATTTTAAAATATTTAACTAACCATTTTCAATAGATATTTTCAGAAGTCTGTACTTTCCATTTCTGGCTCTGGCAAAGATCTCTTTAACATCTTCACTTGCTGTGGAAAAAGATAAAGAAAGTAAACTTTTTATACTTACATATAAATACTTTCCTATCTATATTGGAAAAGTTAATTAGAATACAAAGAAAAAATCTGGAGCATGTAGCATCCTTATTATCAGTATTATAAAACTTTACCGCATAAAATAACGAAGACTGTATACAATTAAGAAATATAAATATTAGCATTTTAAAAGTATGTTAATAATTCTAATCTGTTTTAGCTACATAATTCTGTGCAGAAATAACACTGGGGTGAATATACTGAAGTTACTCAAACCCAATAATGAGCAAATTACAATTTTGAAAAACTTTTCTTGCTCTTTTGAAAAATATTGAAAACCTGCTTTCATTCTCTAATTCAGTTTCAAGCTTATGACAGACACTCCTTCATCAATTCACTTTCTGTATTTTCCCGTTAAAAACAACAGTATATATCAAATATCCTAACTTGTTTAAAGAAAAAGACAATAAAATGCATTCAGTCTTAACTCTGGTTATATTTTTCTAACTTGCATTTCTCAAAAGCTAGATTAAACTCATTGAATAAATATGTATTTAATAACTAACCCTTGTGTTCCTATTAAAGCTTCAATTTCGTTCTAATTTCGTTCCTGTGTTGTCTATTAGCAGCAAGAACCACTATGTAAGTAGGTAGTGCTTGCTATAAGGCTCAAGCATGAGAGTCAATAACTACATATTTATATATCGAAATTAATGCGGATAAATAAAACAAAGTTTTCAGATTTGAGACTATTTTGCTTCTGCGTGCGTGCAGGGGGATGTGTGCGGTGGTGTCAAAAATCTTTACGAATAAAACATACAATTAAGTGTTCATCTGGGAGAAAGACTCGCTATTAACAGTAAGAGCTTGAGTTTACACTAGAACTCGTTAAGTGATCGCGAGTAACCCGGGGATATATTATTTGACTCTTGATGAGGTGAGTACCTGCAGGCTGCCCAATTTCAAACCAGGAAATAATGGAGGTCAGATATAACTGCATATTGAACTGTCTGCACGCATTACATGCAACCATACAGATCAGTTTCCCTTGGGGAGTATCTAGGAAAAAGATCAAAACACACGCTTACACTCGAGATTTCTCAGAACATAACTCTCATTTTCCTATTTGGAGAGAAAATGCGGGAGAGTTTTGGGAAGCACCCCTACTGATGTGAGAAAGATTCTGGCATGGTTCTTTTTGTAATCAAAGTCCTGTAATATTCTCCTTTGGACCATGAAAAAGAAAACTCGCCTGGTTCTCGACAGCGTACTGAAGCCCCAGTCGCCTCCACTGTCCCAGCTCTTCCCTACGTGACCAAAAGGGGGAAAGTTGGGCGACTGTCGGGGACGGTGGAAGGCACGCCCCCTTCAACCAGGCCGCCTCGAAAGCCAATTTCCTTCGCTCCCCCGAATTTCGGATCAATCTGCAACGTGACGGCAGCAGGGACCGGGCTGGAGGAGGACGCAGGCCGGCAGCGCCCGGGAAGCAGGAGCGCGGAGAGGCGCCGAGGCCCGGCTCGCCCCGCGAGACCGACTTCCGGAGCTCCCGGCCCGACTCCAGCCCTGCCGGTCCTGCAGCCCTCCCGGCTCTCCCGGCTCTCCCGGAAGCCCCTTCCCTGCGAGTCGCGCCGGGCGCTGTTACCTTGGATGCCGGTCTGGTGGGACATGGCGGCGGCCGCTAGCTCCCGGCTCCGGCGCTGAGTGCAGCCAGCGGCCCCGGCCGGCGGCCCCAGGAAGTGGCTGCTCCTCCGCCGGCCCCGGCGCGTCATCCGCCCGCGACCCGCGGCCGCCCCGCCCCGTGAGGTTGACTGAGTGCCCGAGCGTCCCCGCCGCCCCGCCGCCCTTCCTGGCCGCCGGGCTGCGGTCCAGCCCCCGGCCTCGCTATCCTAGTTCTCTGCTTGGGGTCCTGCTTCTGCTCTTGCCGCCGCCTCTCCCGCTTCTTCCGGGGGGGACATGCCGCAGAATCTAGACTGCTCAGTGCTCCGACGTCTGCTCTCTGACAACCCCGCCGACGCCGCCATTCGCTGCCTCAGCAAAGGGGTGCTCAAAAACGGAAGTGATCATTTTACCAAATAGGCATTTTCCAGCTTAAAAAAGATGTGCACATTATTTTTCTTGGTTTACTCTTCCTATAATCGATACCGTTTAGTGTAGAAAAGCCTTCTCCTTGCTCCATTGTTTTGAAAGAATTAATATAGACTGCCTCTCATCAAATTTTTCCACGATTTTAAATTAAGTTAATCTCAGACTGTTAACTTTTCTTTTCAGCTGGACACATTTAGAGACTCAGTGTATCTTTCTCTTCACTCCGGAAAGAGACAGCCACTAAGAGATTAGCTGATTTGAGTATCCCTCTGTGGTCGATTATACCATTGCAAATCCTGCTCTGCTTTAGGTTGGCAGTTTATTATTTAATCCAGTAATTATTCAAAATTCACTTGGACAGATTTGTAAGGTAGCAGCAGATATTACTTAAAAATCTTTTCCTTTCCTGCTTTTACAAACATGTAGTTCCTTCCTGAAAGGTAATGTTAGTTTTGTGGGGGGTTTGGTTTTTTTTTGGTACTGCTTCTCTACTGCTACTAGGTGGGAAGCTAGTTCTTATTTTTAGGGCCTTGAAGTGACACATACACAAAATTATAATCTGCTAATGAAGAAATAATTTATTCAGGTCAATAATATAAGTGCAAGTTAATCACTGTTCCAGTACTATACGATGTATTTTTCATGAGTGATGAACAGGCCTGCAATTGTTTTTCTTTACAAGAATCACAGCAAACAAGGTTATGTTCTATTGCCTGTTATCTGAGCTCTGTTTTTCAGACATATTCTCATATTCAGGAATAAACTAAATCTGAGTTTTATGACTTGTATGGATTTAAGAAATGTAGGGAGGAGTTTCATTCTAATCAAATTCTTCCTGACACAATGGTTCACCCTGATTTACCAGTTTTTGACTACATTGCTGAGCAGAGAGAAAATTGCAGAGTTGACTTGCAGTATTTTGACTGATTCATGTCCTAGTGCTTCGGGGAAATTGCTTAAGGAAGTTGGCGTTGCTCAAAAGTATAGTTGAGCAAAATATAATCCTTCCATATTCGTGCTTGGGAAAGGCCACTGTATTCTCAGTCCTGAAGAAGAGGAATGTCTAGTTAGGTTGGGACCACCCTGACAGCCACCAGAAAGTGCTTATTTACTGCCAGTACAATAGTTTGACTTAAAAGCTGCAAGCGTCTTGGGTACCTTGCTCTGCTCTAGCCACAAATATTTTCCCACTTTTCTTCATCTATTGTGTCTCCATTTAGTGAACATTTGCCAGAGCTGTCATGAGAATAATACCTTAGATTTGTATGGTAGTTTACAGTTTACAAATAATATATAATAGACTTATTTTGAGTACCAACATCCTGTGTGACGAGCTGAAAAAAATAGCAGGTTTTGTTTTTTAACTTTAAGAGGTTTGGAAATTGAACCACAGAGTTGGGAAGTCAGCAGGTTTCAAGGCTAAGACAAGTGTCTGTAAGAAACAAACCATTTGAAAACAATGTATGCAGATAAGAGGGTTTATTATAAGGATATTGGAGGATCTTATAGATCTTGACAACTTGGTTGTCACCTCTGCTTTTCTCTTCTTTTTCTCCAAATAAGATCTCTCTGCTTGTGCAGTCAAAATGGCTGAATATGGCTACCCTACACTTTCCAAATTGACAGGGTTGTAGCTGCATGCAGAGATTACATAGCTCTTCTAAGTCCAAGTTTAAAGTTCCTAAGAGAAAGCACGTGAATGACCCTGCTTGGCTTGTGTCAAATCATTCTTGGCCAAGGTGGCTGGTTTACCCAATATACACTGCCCATGAGTGAAAGGCAATTATCACAGGAGGGGAGATGGATCTTGGGTGTGGGAAACAGGTGTAGAATTCCTACTTTTTACAGTTTGGTAGAGGTAATGTTTAGAACCTAAGATGGTGGTCACAAAACACAAATGCTTATGGGGTCAGTTAAATAACATAAATGAATGAAGCTAATAAATGGAGACTGTGGCAATGAGAGGGAGCACAGGATCCATCTAAAATGAGCTACTACTAGGCCAAGTGGGATGGCTGACACCTGTAGTCCCAGCTCTCAGGAGGCTGATGTGGGAGGATCACTTGAGTCCAGGAGGTAGAGGCTGCAATGAGCCATGATCACCCCACTACACTCCAGCCTGGGCAACAGACCCTGTCTCAAAGGGGAGAAAAAAAAAAAAAAAAAAAAAAAGGAGCTACTACTACTCAATTCAATTCTGACTGACTGATGCTCTGTGGGAATTCAAGCGCAAGGTGACCAATCTTATGTTTTGCAAGTGATGTCGGAAACTGGGATTTTATGTAAAATCTCTATTTCAATTATGTAGGAAAACAAAACAAAAAGAGAACTATAACTGCAAGTCAGGTTTGACCTATGAAATGGTAGTTTAGGACTTCTGACCTAGATCATCTGTGTGGTCAATTGCCAAATAATGACATTTTAAAATCACAGCGTCCATAAAGTCTTTTTACCATAGAAGAGACTATGATGCGTGCCACATTAATGTGAGCAGTATACATGTTTGTGTATAGTGCATATACACAGGAAACTAAAAAAATCATTCATCCATCCATCTTGTTTCTTCTCTGAATTGAAACCTTTTTGATAGATTCATTTCTTCTTTACTTGGTGAGGTAATTATAAAGAGCTGCACTATTTGCGTTAGATTTTCCTAGAGAAGAAACCCTGCTGTAAAATTTTTAAAAACACATAGAAGTTGTATGACCATGAACAACATTATTTAACCTAAGTCTCCATTTTCTCTCTTGTTATATGTCATACCCATGTCTCATGGTTGTCATGAAAATCAAGTGAAATATGACTTTATGAAGCTCTAACATGTATGAATGCTCAATGTATGTTAGGCTTCATATTTTGTTAGAATTAAGTCTAACACAATACATTACAATACAGTATGATTCAAAATAAAAGGTCATTTAAAACAGAGCAAATGGAGTTAGATTGAATTTCCAAACCTCAAAAGCAACAATCCAAAGTTGATTTCTTATATAGGTTCATAAAACCACAATATCGCTGGGCCCTGTGAACTGCTGTGTTTTGTGTAACACGTCCTTAGATTTATAAAGCATTAAATAAGAAAAGTAACCCTTTGGGTTATAAAAAATGAGGATCAAGAATTAAGCAACATACCTTGACTGAAATTAACTTTTATTATATGCATGTAATTATAACCCTCAACAATTCACAATAAACACCTGACAAGATTGCTAAAACTCCTCACGAAATGGAATATATAAGATAAAATTCTTTCATTCCTATCGGACTCAGTGGTGCTTGAGAAAACAGAACAGAGAGTCTGGGTTAAGGAATAGTTCAAGCAAATGATATTTCTTTATTATTTTCCCAAGTAAAATATAGACTGAAGTAATATTAATAAATGATACGTACTTTCCAATGAAAGAAACAGGGAACACTTTGGTTCAAAAGAATTGTTGATAATGATAAGGATGCATATTGGAATCAAAGTGCAGGAAAGCACAAAGCAACCAGCTTTTTGATGTATTATTTATAGTGAGATTTTCACCCTGGGTTGGAAAAGTGCCTTAGCAACAGCATCTTGAATCTCTTTCTCATTATCTCTAACATGTCATGTGGGGTAGGATGGTTTAAATGCCTAATAGGAATATTTGCAAATCACTTTGAACATACTGCTTGCTCTCTTTCTCTGTTTCTCTGTCTTTGCTAGTGATGCTAATTAACACCCAAAAACCTTCCCTAACGTTTAAATAGCATGTACAGGAGATATTATCTCATACTGAGTCCACAAACGGGGACAACCTTCCTTGTCCTTTATGTATTTCTGTAATCGCAACACAGGCCACTCCAGACTTTCCATATTAGATAAATTTAGGGCTGGAATCTGCAATCTGGTGGGAAGATGGTGCAAGGGGAACTGTGAGCTGAGCTTGCATAGCAGGGTTTGTTTGTTTTGTTCAGATCTGCTGTATTTTTTAAAATAAATTCAAGAAAGGCATTCATAGCAAACTGACAAGCAGGGCGAGAGGGCAGGGATGCTCAGTGAGATTATGGGAGAGTTAAAGCTCCTTCACTTCCAGCCTAAACTACTCTTTGGAGCTGCCTGAAAATCATAGCCTCATGGTTGGGATCCAAAACAGATTAACCCTTTCACTAAGCGCTGCTCCATAACAAATACTTTATCATAAAGCTTCAATGTATCTGTTATGTTTTTTCAGAATAGGCTAGGTCAGTATGGTGACCTTTATTTAGGGGTGTGCCAATGAAGGAGTTAACTCTTACATTTTATGTTAATAATGGGAACAGTAATATAATGGATCCCAGAAAAAGAACTGTTCAAAAGTAATTTATTAAGATAATTATATTGGCACATATGTGTTTGTAATGCTTTAATGATAGTTTTTGGTGAGATAGACTGTTGCTACACAATAATTTTTATTCCTTAACAAAACAACTAATATTTGATGTGGCAAGGTGCTTAGCTAAAAGTTCACATTTCTACTTCCTTTGCAGCTTGATGTGGCCATGTGATTAAATTTCAACCAATGATATGAAAAATTGTTGGGTGAGTCTTCTTGAAAGGCTTCTTAAGTGGGGCTAGAGAGTGGATGTTCCTTTTCTATTTCCCTTCCCCACCTCCTCCTGTTTTCTGTTGGAATGAAGATGTGATGGCTGGAGTTCCAGCTGCTGTCTTGGACCTGAGGCTATCTAAATGATGAAAACCACAAATTAGGATAGTGGAAAAGAAAGACAAAAAGGAATCTTCTGCCTCCTTGTTGATTGTCACTCTCCCCTACTGGACCTGGCATGCCTCCTTCTAGAATTATCTTACATTCAAGAAAAATAACTTCCATTCTGTTTAAGCCACAGTTTATTACAGTCTGTGTTACTAGCAGCCAAATATATTTTGTAAGTGAGGCACCTTGTTTTACCAAGACTGTTAAGTAAAAATATCCTTCATCATACAGTTCATTGGTTCATAGAGTGAAATCTTTCATAGCAGGTTAGTACAACAGGGATGCTGTGTTACCAAATTCATTTGATTCCTAAATTTTAGATTGCAATTAGTGAGAATTTGAGCAGCAAAGGACACATATAGTTTTAAAGTTGAAATTACAGCAAATTAATCTACATTCTTTGCATGTAACTAGATAGTGGCAAAGTTTCCTATAAGTTTGCTAAATAGAGAAGCAAATCAGCTGAGACCTGAAAATATTCCTTTGCATAAAAGCAGCTAAATATGCCTTGGTTATCAGATTTAGAAATACTGTATATCTTTCAGCATGTATTTCTTTATTCTTAAAACTTTAATGAGATTCACTACTACAGTAAATGAAAACATTGTAAGAGATACATATATCTTCTGAATTTCAGCATTTTTATTAAATATTGACTCATCCCAAGGTTATATAAAAATCCAAAAAGTATTCACCATCTGCAAAAAAAAAAAGTTTAAGATTCTATCTGTTGAGTAGCTTTGCTAAACAGCTGAATAGTACTGTGAACAGACATCAATAGTCTCTGAATTTATGATGTAATCTTACAATTCTGGTTTCTACTTCATTCTTTGTTACCTACAGGCCTAGACTTGACACTATTCTCTCTTAAATGAGTTCTCAGAGACAGCGCCTAAAAGAGAAAACCCTCGGGAACAATTTCTCTCTGGCCTTTCATTTCAGTTGTGTTTGACCTGTTGTCAATGGAGAATCAAGCTTGTTAGAGGATTGGGTGGGCTGGGATCAAGGAATCCACAGAAGCATGGAGCTTGACCCACCTTTTCTTTCTGTTCTTTCTCTTTACTCACTGCAATGCAGCACATTTTACTACAATTAATGTGCACCTTGTAGAGAAAGGAAAGTGAAGGATATATTTACATACTAGTGAGAGAAATGTCAAATTCTTGTTTTTGTGCTGTTCAATTATCAGGTTAGCAAAGGTTTCACAAGTTAACCGTACTCTTCCAGGTTCTTGTTTCTGCTCCCGGGTCCACACTAGCCCTTGCACTTGGCAATTTTGATCAATCTTATTAAGCCAGTTGACTTTGATCCTATACTAGGCTGGGCTCTTTTTAAGAGAAGCCGAGGTCGGGTGCGGTGGCTCATGCCTGTAATCGCAGGACTTTTGAGGCTGAGGAGGGAGGATTACTTGAGGGAAGGAGTTCGAGACCAGCCTGGGCAACAAAGTGAGGCCTCCCACTCCCCATCTCTACAAAAAGTACAAAAAAAAAAAAAAAAGTAGCCTGTAGTCCCAGATACTTGGGAGGCTGAGGTGGGAGGATTGCTTGAGCCCAGGAGTTCAAGGCTGCAGTGAGCTACGATCATGTGCACTATACTCCAGCCTGGGCAACAGAGTGAGACCCTGTCTCCAAAAAAAAAAAGCAGCAGCAGCACCAGCAGCAGCTGAGTCTGCCACTCAAGTTTCCAGATTAGATTTTCCCTTCAGGCTCCCAAGAGCACTTTTCTGTTTGGATTCCTCTGACTCACTGACTCCATGGGTCCATCCCACTTGCCTTCATAGTCATACTCCTACCAGCCTTATTCATGATCCTAGGTGCTATTTCATTCAGGTTTTCTGAACTGGTTTTCTCTTGTTTTTTTTTTTTTTTTTTTTTTTTTTTTCTGAGACAGCGTCTTGCTCTGTCGCCCAGGCTGGAGTACAATGGCACAATCTCGGCTCACTGTAACCTCTGCCTCCCCAGTTCAAGCGATTCTCCTGCCTCAGCCTCCACAGTAGCTGGGATTACAGGCGCCTGCCACCATGCCTGACTAATTTTTGTATTTTTTAGTAGAGACAGGGTTTCACCATGTTGGTTAGGCTGGTCTCGAACTACTGGCTTCGGCCTCCCAAAGTGCTGAGATTACAGGTGTGAGCCACCACACCTGGCCCTGAACTGGTTTTCTTTCTTACCTTTCAAATCCTGAACTATTTTTCCCTCCCTTTCTCTGAGATAACATTACAGTTTATTTCTTCACACAGTGTGCCAGCCTACATGAGTCTCATCAGTTCATTTCCCTAGGCAGTGTTTTCTACACTCTCAAAGAAGCTCATTTCAAGGCCCTTCCTTACTCAGTGACTGTTGTTTCCTCGTGAACTGTTCTTTCACAAACAATAGCACAGGTCTAGCTAAATCACAGTTCACTTTCCCTGGCTCTAGTAGGTAACCTGCAATTCACTTTAGCCTCAATTTTGTTTCATTTTAAACTCTGTTTTTCCCTCCTCCCTTCCTTTTTTTCCCTCCCTCCCTTACTTTCTTTTACAACCATTGTCAGTGCCCTGATATTTCCTATTTATTCTAGCTCATTAACAGTGAAGTGGGATAGAGGGCAAAGATCCCTAGTAGATTTTCAGGTATATTCATACTGTGACAGCACAGCTTAGATGTTTATAATGGAGATGGACTAACGTGTTGAAAAGGACACAGACCTTTCTGTTCTACAGCTCTGGTCTGGAACAGGAATATGTTTGAAATTATATGTAATTTTCATTAAAAAAATACAACTCTAAGTAAGCTGAATTGCACTTTGAGGAATTTAAAGTTTGAGTACACATCAGAGAAGCAGTGTTTCCCCTATGGAAAAAGCTCACTTCCACGACTGCCTACTTGTGTGATGTTGAATGGGAGATGGTCAAAGGGAGAAAGAAGGGACCACAGCAGCAGGGTCATCTTTGAACAACAGTATTATCCCAGAATTGGTTTTGGTGTTTCATCTTTGCTGGGCTCTTTCTTTCTATTCTCTTCCCTACCATCCTTCTAACATCATAGCATATTTGTGACTTTCTCCCCACTGGCTTCTCTAGATGTTATCTCACCTAACCCTGCTCGTCCTGGCCCTCTGTTCTGGGCTGCATCTTTCCTTTCTCCTAGCACAGCTAACTTGTCCAGACTCTCGCTTGTTCAGAATACTTGCCAGGTAACTGGAAGCCAATCTGGTAAACTAATTCACCACGAGGAGCTCATTCACTGATTCATCAAACATTTATTGAGCACTGCAGCTCCTGTGGAGGTGTGAATGGCTGACCAAGGCTGTTCTGCTGCATTACCAGTGTACAATGCAGCAACCTTGGGTTTTGGGGTCAGACAGTCCTGGGTTTGAATCTTTTTTTTTTTTTTTTTTTTTTTGAGACAAAGTCTCCCTCTTGTCCCTCAGGCTGGAGTGGAATGGCACTATCTTGGCTCACTGCAACCTCTGCCTCCCAGGTTCAAGCGATTCTCCTGCCTCAGCCTCTCGAGTAGCTGGGATTACAGGCACCCGCCACCATGCCCAGCTAATTTTTTTATTTTTAGTAGAGACGGGGTTTCACCATGTTGGTCAGGCTGGTCTCGAGCTCCTGACCTCAGGTGATCCGCCCGCCTCGGCCTCCCAAAGTGCTGGGATTACAGGCATGAGCCACCACACCCAGCCCTGGGTTTGAATCTTACCCTGTCACTTGCCAGATGTGTCGTCTAGGAAAAATTCCTTAATCTTTCCAGACGTCTCACTTTCCTCATCTGTAAACTGGGGACAATAATAACATCTTGCAGGTGATGTTGGGTTTTAAGGACAAGTATATTCAGTGGCTAGCTCCTAGTCAATGTTAAGTAAATAGTTCTTGTTATTATATTATTGGTTATCTTTCTCATTTATCATTTATGGAGACCTTTAATGCTTTAACTTTTGATACAAATTGTCAGTGCCTTAACAGTTAAGAATTTTAAGCCTTGTGACGAGTTGGCAAGAGCTGTTTAGGAAGTCAGGGAAGTTTCTGTTTGCCTCTCACCAACACCAGTTGTCTTAGTTCTGTCAATAGAATACCCCAGTATCAGCTGTCTGAGGAACTGATGCAGAGTGAATTGCTGAAGACACAGGAGAGGTGTTATAAGGATACACAGAGGTACATTTTCAAATGAGGCAGCCTGGCGATAAAATACCAGGAAACAGCAACAGCAGATCATGAAGTGAAAAGTAGGTCATTTGTTTGGAGTCAAGGTGTCAGGTAGCATACAAGGTGAAGAACCCAAAGCTGTAAACAGTAACAGGCTGTAAAAATTGCTACTGCAGCCATAAACCAAAGGGCTGCCTTTTCACGTATGCTGGATGGAGAGAACTGCTGGTCATGCAGCTGTCTTTTTGCCACACTTGCACACATGCAAAACAACACTGTCAGCCATCAGTGGCATCATTTTGAACACCGATGACAATGATAAATTGAGACCCAATAGCTGGCTCTGCACAAGGGCAGGAAGGCAGTGCAAGAGAAAGGAGGACAAAACTCCATTCCTTTTGTTTGCCACTCAAATGTGTTGTACTTTTCAAATGTTTAGGGCTTCAAATTTTTTGCGTTAAATTTTGGAACGTCTAAATAAAACATCCATTTGTTTGCATATTCGTGTATATTGAGTAGGCTTTCTATTATCTTAGGTAGTTTTTGTGTTGTGAAGATTTTTTTAAATACTATTTTGTGCACAAATTGTAAGGGTTCTAAGCTCAAAGTCTTTGGCTATCACTTCAAATGGCATTTGAGCAGTTATCTGGGGTTGTCAGTTTGGGGAAAGGGACGAGGTAGACAAAATGCCATTTGGCTTGTTGGGGGTAATTGTGGGCAAGGTGTTCTGTTCTGCTTCATTATACTCCAAACCACTTCATTTCTTTCCACACCACAGTTAGCTCACTTCTGACTTTACTCACCTCCTGTCCACTACCCACGATGTTACTCACCTCCTGTCCACTACCCACAACTTAACTCACCTCCTGTCCACTACCCACAAGATTACTCACCTCCTATCCACTACTCATGACTTTACTCACCTCCTGTCCACTACCTATGACTTTACTCACCTTCTGTCCACTACCCACAAGATTACTCACCTCCTATCCACTACTCATGACTTTACTCACCTCCTGTCCGTTACCTATGACTTTACTCACCTCCTGTCCACTACCCAGTCTAAAACACTGGAGAGATGGTCGAGTAGCTGGCAGAACAGGGATTTTGATAGGCCCTGCATTTGGAAACTAGCTGCAAAGAAAGAAGATACTTAGCCATCATATGCCAGTGTTTCACCTCGGTGATTTGATTCAAGCAGAATCCTCCAAATTTCTCAGGCTTTTAAAATTAACTGCACTATGAACTAAACATTCTCTAAAATGAAACATCAATATTGTTGAAGTTATTGAAAATAAACTACCTGAGACCCAAACTATAATATGATGCCAGCATTAATTTATCTGACATCTGATGTATATTAATTTTATACAAGATGGTATAATTAACATTTCGCACAACCTGAATGCATTAGGAATTTGGAATAAATTGAAGTTATTGGGAAACTGGGAACTGTGAAAGAATGCAGAAATATCCTGGCTGCCTAGCTCTTTGAGCCATCAAAGAGCACACTGGATTCTTCAGCATTCTGAGCAGATGTAGGGCCTTTGAAAGGCCCACATTTAAATGAATCTAAATACTGGTTTTAATATGCTCTTCTTAAAATAGAAATAAGTGACACAGAATTGAGTAAAAATTCATAGAGTTTTCAATTTTCAGGAAAAGCAATTTGGGTACAAACTGTGCCTGTTAACCTACACTCAGAAAAATAACCTTTGTGGATCTCTGTCAAATGTGTTGGCCTTACCTGAAGGGATAATGAGCTAGTTAGGGAAATATATTTCTGCTATAAGAGTTATGTTTTGAAAACATAGTGATTGAATAAAAACTCCTCTTGGGAGAATAATGAGGATGATTTAGGAGATATTCCCTTGATTATATGATTGAAAAGAATATATACATTTGTTTATTTCCATTTGGAGTCCTGAATTGACAAAAGCAAAACTTGAATTTATGACCTTAAATGACTGGAATGAGCTTAGGATTTTTATATATTTAGGCAGCACCTAAGAAACTCTTCCATTACTGAAGGCAGTGGAAACTATTTAAATATTTCAGAGTGGACTTACAAGGAACTACATCATTCCTTTGAGTTAAGAAAAAAATCACCTTTTATTTTTCAGGCAATAAATTATGTTAGTATATGAACACAGTCATCCTAGAGTATTTCTGAAGGTACACTTTATTAGATTAGTTGATTCCACTTAGCATCAATGCAGAAAAAAATAAAAATACACTTCTTTTCTAAGCTCAGGATTGGACTATGAATTATTTCATAATTCTCCACTTGCATAAAATTTACTCATATCAGCTACATTAATGCAAGCATAAAAGCTTTATTCTTCAGAGAGTTTAGTTTTGTGAACTAAATTTAGAGCCATATCTCAGTTTATCTCATGAGTGAAGAAGCTATTTTTAAAAAATATAAAGAAACAAGGAGACTCCATGTCCACTTTTGACTTCTACTGCTTGAAAATATGTACTTAGTTATAGCACAGGTATATACTTGCACTTATTTAGCAGCTCTAAAATATGGGAGAGGTTTAACTTTTCAAGGATGCCTCTCTGATGAGTTTGTAGAATGTTAATTTAAGTCCACTTTCATACTGTTATTGAAATAAAGGACTTTGATTTTTCCCCTCTCCATGCACGTTAAAACTTGCAAACAAAGTTATACAAATACATTCTCACTTCTACCCATTTATATGTGATAAGCTTTAAATGTTTGAGTGCATCAAATTTCCTGTGAGAATAGAAAGTACATATAAGTAAGTACTGACATTTTTTCCTTCTATTTACTGGAAAATAAAATGAACTTTTAAACACCTTTTTTTCTAATTTATAAACAATCTGCTCCCCCCACTCCCACACCCCACCCACCTTAACCTAGTTTTCTTACTTTGAAATTTGTATCTGTTTTTTTTTTGTGTTTTTTTTTTGTTTTTATTTTTTTTGAGATGGAATCGCGCTCTGTCGCCTGGACTGGAGTGTAGTGGTGCAATCTTGGCTCACTGCAATCTCCGCCTCCCGGGTTCAAGCAATTCTCCTGCCTCAGCCTCCCGAGTAGCTGGGACTACAGGCGTGTGCCATTATGCCCAGCTAATTTTTGTATTTTTAGTAGAGACGGGGTTTCACCATGTTGGTTGGCCAGGATGGTCTCGATCTCTTGACCTCGTGATCCGACCGCCTTGGCTTCTCAAAGTGCTGGGATTACAGGCATGAGCCACCGCACCTGGCCTGTATCTGTTCTTTTAATCTTAACATTTTAATATTACCCTTATGGTCTCAGTTCAGATTTTGATACACATTTTAATGGAGTCAGAAATAGAAATTAGAGGAGTATGTACATCCATAATATTTTAAAGGAACCTCTTTCCACTTTTTATTTCTTCCTATAACTTTCTTTTTCCTTCCTTGTCATTTGTTCTTTCAATTTTAAATACATCTCAGTGCCACATCACTCTAACAAAACCGATAGGGTTCCCATAATTCTCCATGATGTGATGCATAGATTGAGAACACAGGGTTAATAAGAAACTAAAGATACAGAATTGTACAGGGAGAGGCAACATTACCCCACAGCTAGGGATTAAGTCACCAAATACATGGCGGAGGGGAGGAGGGGAAGGAGGGATTTGTTGAACCAGTTGTTTGATTGTAGACCTAAAAATCCACTTTCTATGATGTACTGTAGACATAGTGTATGCCAAATTCTTACTTGCTTTCTTGCTTCTTAGTTTTGGTAAAGGAAAAAAAGAGTGAAGGCCTCCACCGGTCTTCAAGTCTTTCTATTTATTGTAGATCTTTCTGATTTTTGATTCTAAAGTTTGATTGGTGGCAGATTCCACTGTAAGCTGAACTTTCCTATCTTGTTTCTCAGAAAAGTATTGCATTTCCCCTTATGGTATTTCAGAAGAGATGTCTGACCCAACAGCATTGATTTTCTCTATTATAGTACCCATGACTGGGTGGTTAAATTGAAACAGGCGGCTGGGCGGGATGGCTCACACCTGTAATCCCAGCGCTTTGGGAGGTTGAGGCAGGCGGATCACGAGGTCAAGAGGTCGAGGCCATCCTGACCAACATGGTGAAACCTCGTCTCTACTAAAAATACAAAAATTAGCTGGGCGTGGTGGCGCGCGCCTGTAGTCCCCGCTACTCTTCTTGAGCCTGAGGCAGGAGAATCGCATGAACCCAGGAGGCGGAGGTTGCGGTGAGCCGAGATTGCGCCACTGCACTCCAGCCTGGCGATAGAGCGAGACTCTGTCAAAAAAAAAGAGAGAAAGAGAGAGAGAGGGAGAGAGAGAGAAAGGAAAGAAGGAAGGAAGGAGGGAAGGAAGGGGCATCATTACAGTATGAAACTCTGTAGGCTGATGCTGAATTCTACAAAAGAGTTGTATTTGGCATCCTAATTATTTTGTGGTTCTCTTCTATATGGAAAGATCTAAGCTTATATTTCCCACATAAAGGCAGTTGAATAAATATGGTAAAATTAAACTTGTAAAAAAAAGAGAAAAGAAAACATTATTATCCATTGCATGTGCTTTCAGATATTCTACCTCTCTAGCTCTTAACAGGGTGTAATTACAGGTGTATTTTTTTTTGTTTTTGTTTTTGTTTTTGTTTTTGTTTTTGCCAAGTGGAGTGCTGTGGCGCAACCTCGGCTCACTGCAACCTCCGCCTCTCCGGTTCAAGCGATTCTCCTGCCTCAGGCTCCCAAGTAGCTGGGACTACAGGCGTGCGCCACCACGCCCAACTAATTTTTGTATTTTTGTTTATTATTATTTGAGATGGAGTCTCGCTCTGTCGCCCACGCTGGAGTGCAGTGGCACAGTCGCCACTCACTGCAAGCTCCGCCTCCCGGGTTCACGCCATTCTCCTGCCTCAGCCTCCCGAGTAGCTGGGACTACAGACGCCGGCCACCACGCCCGGCTAATTTTTTGTATTTTTAGTAGAGACGAGGTTTCACCGTGTTAGCCAGGATGGTCTCGATCTCCTGACCTCGTGATCCGCCCACCTCAGCCTCCCAAAGTGCTGGGATTACAGGCATGAGCCACCACGCCTGGCCACAGGCGTATTTTTTTTTTTTTTTTTTATAGAATCAATACATTGCTGTAGAAAAATATGTAGCAAGCATTGTTATTCTGCAGGTGTGCAATTTTATGCATTTTGCCCACTTTATTGTCCTCATAATCAAAAGACAGCAGGAAGGGCACTGCTTACTCACAAATAGAAATTAGTCTCAAACACACATAGACAAGTAATAAGTTAAATGTTTGCCAAACCCTTCTGTCTTTCTATAAGAAGCATAAAGTGGCCGGGCGCGTTGGCTCACGCCTGTAATCCCAGCACTTTGGGAGGCCGAGGCAGGCGGATCACGAGGTCAGGAGACCATCCTGGCTAACACGGTGAAACCCCGTCTCTACTAAAAATACAAAAAATTAGCCAGGTGTGTTGGCGGACGCCTCCAGTCCCAGCTACTTGGGAGGCTGAGGCAGGAGAATGGCATGAACCCGGGAGGCGGAGCTTGCAGTGAGTCGAGATCGCGCCACTGCACTCTAGCCTGGGCAACAAAGCAAGACTCCCTCTCACATTAAAAAAAAAAAAAAGAAAAAAAAAGCATAAAGACACAAAATGAATAAAATTTGCATTACCACTTGATACAAATTATTTAGGACTATAGAATTTTAGGGACTAAGCAAATATTTTTTAATCCAATACCCTTATTGTGTGACTGAAATCATGAAGAAATCTTCTGCCTTAGCAAAAATACACATAAGCACATGGGATGAACCTTGGGTGCCCACAGAGGTCTTAACAGGCTGGAGTGCAGTGGTGTGATCATAGCTGGCTGCAGCCTCAACCTCTTGGGCTTATGCAATTCTCCTACCTCAGCTTCACAAGTAGCTGGGACTACAGGCACACACCACCAGACCTGGCTAATTTTTGTATTTTTTATAGAAACAGATTTTCACCATGTTGCCCAGGCTGGTCTCAAACTCCTGGGCTGAAGCAATCCTCCCACCTTAGCCTCCCAAAGTGCTGGGATTACAATTGTGAGCCACTGTGCCCAGCCAAGAAGTCTTAAGATTTTGTATATTAATTTCATATTCCCCAAAATGCCTGAATCTACTAAAGTTTATGAAAATGCATTGAGGCCCTGAAAGCACAGAGTTAAGTAACTTATCCAGGATGATACAAATCAGCAGTGGCAGAGCTGAATAAGCCCGTCTTTCATGATTTCCATTTGTATTCTGTTTGTGTTATACTTCAAATGTGACTATCTGCAAGGATACCAAATATTAAATCATTGTTTTGTTTTTAGCGGAGAAGGGCAGGGATTTGGTTCCTCTCAAGAAAGGTAAGTTTTTAAAGCATTTTTAAAAAAGTATTATTTTGTGCATTTCTAAGGTGTCAGCCATGATGGCCTAGAACACTATGTTGGGTGACCTAGCTGTGGGTGTGACCATGTTGTTGTGAATGTATAATTTTGCCTGTCTCTTTCATGAGGAAGCAAAAGATGATGAGTCTCAAAGAGTTTTTATAACTGTAAGAGGTCCAGACATTTATGGACATGGAACCGATATTCAAGATTTCAGGACTTCTCTAGGGTACTGAAGATGTATTCCAGTGCATTTTTTTATGTGTATTTTTACTAAGGCACAAATGTGAGTTGACTTCAATGCGAGATTGGCTTTGGGAAGACAGTTACTTAACTCTTGCGTGAGCCCAGATAATTACCCAACATCCACATTAAAACAAGATTTTTATTTTCTTGTTGTTAAATTGGACAGAGAAACTCTCAGAACACATTACAAACTTTGGTTTTTCAGACTTAAGTAAATTCGTATCATTTATTACACTACATTAATGATTTTCCAGTAATGATTTAGCACAGTTCAGTTTGGTGACAAAATTAATTTGTGTAATTTTATAGATGGCCATAGCCTAGTATTTATCAAATCTTTAAATATCTTTTTTTTTTTTTTTTTAGATAGAGTCTCACTTTGTCACTCTGTGAATCCTTTCATATGCCTAGGTGAAACTGGTGATCCAGTACTCTGTGTTCTCATGAGACACTTATTCCTCAGTTTCTATATGGTAGTATAATAAATGATATGTTTACCTGTCTCTATTATTTTTCTATCAGATGAGCAGGGATGATGTTCTTTTAGCTGCTCCTATAGTAGACAGTAAATTTTTGCTGAGAGGATGAATGAAATATTGATTGAAATAAGTGGCAATAGCCAGGCATGGTGGTAGCTGCCTGTATTCCCAGCTACTTGGGAGGCCGAGGTAGGAGGATCACTAGAGCCCAGGAGGCAGAGGTTGCATTGCAATGAGAAGAGATTATGCCACTGCACTACAGCCTGGGCAACAGAGTAAGACCCTGTCTCGAAAAAAAAAAAAAGGGTAATCTACTGAAATTTGAAAACCTTTTTCTCTCTTTAATAGAGATAATTATAACTATTAGACTTATTGTACAAATGGAACCCACAGTACACGTTTAAGGGATATCAAGTCAAAGTCATGGACCCAGAGGGTATGATGATACTTTTCCATTGAATTTATGGCAAAGCATTTATACAGAAATTTTATTATAAAAATTTGAGGACATTTATTAGGCCTACTATCCACTGGAATGAAACTTGATGTATTAAGAAGGTAATAGGAGATGTGCCAGGATGTGTTTACTTATACTATTTCATTTAATCCTCACTGCAGTCCATACATTTTATGTTATTAGCCAAAAATGTTAGATATGGGTATGTGTCTCAGAGAGGTTAAACAACTTGGCCAAGTTCACAGATAGAAAAGGTAGCAAAGTAGAATTTGAACCCAGGCCTAACTCCAAAAATCTACCTCCTTTCCATTATACTATACATTTATTGAGGCTAAACGATGAGATGATCAAGAAAAGGATAACTACATTTTTTGGTGAGGCTGAAAACAATCTCACAGTAGAGAGAACAAATTTGTGTGAGTGTAATTTCATTTTTATTTCTTTATTTATTTATTTTTTTGAGACAGAGTTCCACTCTGTCTCCAGGCTGGAGCACAGTGGCGTGATCTTGGCTCACTGCAACTTCCGCCTCCCAGGTTCAAGCCTCAGGCTCTTCTGCCTCAGGCTCCCAAGTAGCTGGGACTACAGGCACGCGCCACCACACCCAGCTAATTTTTGTATTTTTAGTAGAGACGGGGTTTCACCATGTTGGCCAGGATGGTCTCGATCTGTTGACCTCGTGATCCACCCACCTCA